>NC_000013.11:74771742-74923257 GCF_000001405.40 Homo sapiens
GCAGTTCCAGGCGTAAGGCTTTGTTTCTCTCTAGTGCTAGTCTGTTTTCAAGACAGGATGGTTGTTTTTCTCATCCTTGGGCAAACAACATCATTCCATAAAATATCTAATTAGTATGAATATCTTTAGTATTGCTTCCTGGGAAGTCTGGTATTTTACAAAGCCACGTATTGCTTCCTGTTAAATATATGCTCTTCATATTCTTAAAGAATATTTTTTCTATTGTCATTTTCTGTTTGCCTGTATCTAGAAAAATATTAGTATTTATTAGTAGACGATGATCTTGCCTGCCACTAGCTATAACTGGTTTTACAGTTCAGATTACCAGAGGATGGCAGAGTAACAAAATATATTACAAGGACCATGTTGTGGTCAATGATGATGTCTGCAAAGAATGACTTTCATTTTATTTGAAATAGTCTATGGTCTAGATAAATTTCTTTACTGTGAATCATCTGACTTTAACTTCTGAGATGAAATTGTTCTTATTAAAACAAATTTCACAACCTAGGACTCATTCGATTCTTCAAGGTCAGGGACGACTGTGTCTCATCCTTGTGCCAGTCTCTGCCCTATCATAGCAGCTCAGGAGCCTGAAAAATGCCTGATAAATATCTGTTGAATCCTCCAAGTTCTTAGAGGAAACACATTCTAAGCAGTTCAATACACTAATGGCAACATTCCTCTATCTCCAAGATAACCTGCTCTTTAGGGTTCTCTCACTTCTGTTTTTCCTACCACTATCATGCCAGGCCCGAAGGACCCACCCTCATCTAAGTGTGAACTCAAACATTGTAACCATTTGGTTCAACTTTCTTTAATTTTACAGTATTTGCTATGAGTCGTTTTCCCTCTGCTCCTGGATCTATGCAAGAAACAATCCTTCCCTTTCCTCCAACTGTTAGGAATCATGTTTTTGCTTCTTCCTCTGCAGAGTGAGTAACTCCTCTGCTTTGTTCTTCCCCTTCCTCCAGTGTCAGGTTTGCCTTTTCTTTGGGAATACAAAATATTGCTTTGCAAACGTGTATCTGAATCTCCCACCTTAAATTTAGGCAAGTGTCTTCTTCAAGTCTTTGTTTCTGCTTTATCATGAAAATTATAAACTGTGCAGAAAACAAGACTTCTGTAGAAAAAGTTCAAAGGAAGTTACAAGAGAATGAGGAAAGGAAGATATGAAAAATATTATTCTTGAAAATTGAAGGTTCTGAAATGACCATAACTCCATACAATTAAAAATTAAGAGGTTGGGCGCAGTGGCTCATGCCTGTAACCCCAACATGTTAGGAGGTTGAGGCAGGAGGATTGCTTGAGCCCAGGAGTTCAAGCCTAGCCTGGGTGACATAGCAAGACCCCATCTCCACACACAAAAAATAACAATAATTAGCCATTGTGGTGGCCTGCATTGTGATCCCAGCTACTGAGGAGGCTGAGGTGGGAAGATTGCTTGAGCCAGGAGGTAGAGGCTGCCGTGAGTCGTGTTCGCACAACTGCACTGCACTCCAGTCTGGAAAACAGAGCAAGACACTGCCTCAAGAAAATAAAATAAAAAAGAGGAGTGTGCTTTTATTCAAACATTTCTCTAATTTTATTCTAGCTATAAACCAGTCAAGGTTAATCAGTTGCCTTGTTTTAATTTTATCTTTCCTCAGTGTCTGCCAGGAGAGATTTTGCATCCTTTGGGATCCTCTATCATGTGCCTCATATTTTTGGCATTTATTTAAGGAAATGCAAAATGCTATTGCATCACAGTGTGACAAAAATAGAGTTGCATCTTCACTATCTTCTATAAATTCAGCTAAACATTATGAGAGAATATTTTTCCTTATGCTTATTGCAGGTCGAACTTTACTTGGCAACACACAAAATTAGAGAATTCATGAATCCAAGGATGTATTTTATTTCTGGAATAAAAATAATTCAACATTTTTATCCTTCTCTTTTTAATCAAATTACAATTTGTCTAAGTTTATTTTTCTCCCTTCTTCACACCTTTTCTTACGTTTCCTTTATGGTAACATTCCATGCCTGGGGTTGTACTTGTGGCAAGGAATGGCTCTTCTTTACAATTCCTTCTGAAATTCTTCTTAGAGATGCTGAGCACACATCCACTTTAATCATTCATTGAAACATTCACTTAAAAAATATATGTTGACCACCTACCACTTGCTGGGCTCTGCCATAGGCACTGTGAACAAAACAGTGCTTGCCTTCTTGAAACTTAGTTAAGGGAGACGGACAATAATCACAAAGGCAAATGTATAGTATGAAGAATATGAAGGGCACCATGGAGGGAAGTAATGTGGGGAAAGTGGATCAGGAATGCCAGGATGAAAATATATCTCTCTACACATCAGCAAGGGCCAGTTGGACCAATAAAGAGCTATTACAATGATCCTCCCCAACTATCTCTAATTCATATCGAAATTAGATCACCCAAAGATAAAGGGGGTAAAAACCACTTTATTTTATTTTGTGTGTATATGTAAGCTATCATAATAAATTTCTAGTTTTCCCTGGAAACTTACATATTATAGACATTTTAAAAACACCTTTCTATCTATGAAAGCACCATCTTTGTGAATATATTTAAGAAATTGAGGGAACAGTAGATTAAGCTAAAAAAAAAAAAAAAAGGCCCATACTGCATGTCTTTGTCTATTGCGAAAGGAAAATAAAATCTCAGAACCCAAACTCACTATGACAAAGGGAAGGTTCAGCTTGAGCACTGAGTCACACAAAAGCTACATTTCTTCCCAAACAGCTGTAATTTCACATGCTTACTTTGTCTTATGTAAAATGTAGATCTACCAAGAGTGAGATGAATGCATAATCACTTCCCCTCCACTCCTCTTTTCATATGTAAAATATGGATTTGGTGAGTACTAATCAAAGTAACCACTTGTCATACTGCCTACCTTCCTCCTTTTCTTTTTCTTCTCTTCCTTTCCCTCCTGTCTGCTCCTTTCTCTTTAAATATTGGTCCTCAAACTTCTTTGGAAAAAGCACAGGCCACAGATCGTATTTGTAACTTGTGGCTTTTTTTGTTTGTTTTTTGTTTTTTCGAGGCGCATTCTCAATCTTGGCCAAATAAACCTCTAAATCAATTAAGATCGATCTCAGACACTTTTTGATTTACACCGTCTGTCAATCCATCCATAGATCCCTCTACCCATCTATTGTAGCTAGTCATTGACAACATGGCCCAGGAGAGTCATGGCCAGAACTGAGCTCAGAGGCTAATAGACCTAGGAGAAACATTGTCTCGGCATTATTAGAAGGTCATTAATTAATTAATTCAAATATTTTTGTAGACTTAACATGTGCCAGGCACTATTCTAGGATCTGGAGATGGATAGGCTACTGGGCTCCACAGAGTTTACATTCTAAGCTTTCAAATTAGGCAACGTATCTTCCCACAGTGAGATCTCCTTGTTGGCCCAGGCAGTGCTCTAAGCTGGTGGGTGCTTGGAATTCCAATCTGTGTGATTGATTTTTGAAAATTTATTAATATACTTTATTTAACTTAATATATCCAAAATGTTATTTCAACTTAATATATCCAAAGTGTTATTTCTCACTCTGTCACCCATGCTGTAGTGCAGTGGCAGGGTCTCAGCTCACTGCAACCACCACCTACTGGGCTCAAGGGATCCTCCCACTTTAGCCTCCCGAGTCACTGGGACTCCAGGCAGGCACCACCACCCCTGGCTAATATTTTTCACATTTATTTGTAGAGATGGGGTCTTCCTGTGTTGCCCAGGCTGGTCTCAAATGCCTGAGCTCAAGTGATCCTCCTGCCTTGGCCTCCCAAAGTGCTGGGATTATGGGCATGAGCCACTGCACCTGGCCACATAATAATATTTACCAACCTGTCAACAACAGTTTGGGAAGATGAAGGTAAAGACGAAGCACTGATTACAGTGTAATTAATATTCAACGTGTAGTTCATATAAAATAAGAATTATTAATGAGATATTTTACACTTTTTTTCAGACTAAATCTTTAAAATCTAGTGTGTATATTATGCATACAATACATCTTAACTTGGATTTAGCCCAATTCAAGGGCTTAATAGCCACCTGTAGCTGTTGGCTGCCATATTAGAAGCACAGCTACAGAGAATATCATGTGACTGATTTTTAAGGGGCTGCTCTCACTCTCATACATGTACTGGATAGGATATGCTCAGTCCCTTCATCTAGCCTAACTCATTTGTCTCAGCCCTTACTCATAAATTGTTTAGGGATGATATTATCCCACTTAGTGGCCAGTCTCCCAAATCATCCCACCTATTTCATATGACAACTCACCTTAAGATAAAGAGGAATGCCTTCCCTATTATAGCCTTGGCACTTTAAAAACAAGATCCCTACCTCGGTTTACTCCAGCTACCTTATGTGTTGGCCATCACTGGCCTGCTCTGGACACTAGAACTTTGCTATCCTAGTTGCCCTATCAACTAGAAATTCCTAAACTCACACATGAGAAACTGTAATGGGGACTAGGTAATAAAGAGGGTAGTACGTGCGAGAAAGTTATGTTATCTGAATGGTTCTGTGTTTTCTATCCTATGTTCTTTTACTGATACCCTGAAGGCTAGTTTTCTTTCCCCTAGCCTACAACTAAGGGGAAACAAGGACTCAAAGACACTTGCCTACATTTAGTTCAGATACATGTTTGTAAAGTATATTTTCCTCAAAGACAAGGCAAATTTGGGACTAAAGAAAGAGCTAAGATAGAGTGAGGAGTTATTCATTCTGGAGAGGAGAGAGCAGATACAATGCAATTTCTGAAAAACAATGCAATTCCTAAAAGTGGGAGAGGCTGGGCATGGTTGCTCATGCCTGTAATCCTAGTACTTTGAGAGGCCAAGGTGAGAGGATTGCTCGACCTCAGGAGTTCAAGACCAGCCTGACAACACAGTGAGACATCATAAATAAAAATGGAGAAAGATTATCTTCTTTTTTCTTTCTTTTTTTCTTTTCTTTTCTTGCATAGATAAAGGAGAAAAGTGGAAAGGACTTAGAACCCAACTGTTTACACATGTAGAGCCAGACTTCACTATGTCACTTCCTATGATCCACCATGGCCCAACAATTGTGGACATTTGGAAGCTCCTGGGGGTGAGGAACTTGGATAACTCAGGTGAAGAGGGAACTCCACTCCCTGAGCAAGGCAGAACTGAGCAGAGCCATCCGGGAATATTCCTGAGAGCCAGAGCACAGGTGGACTCTGTATCACTGATATACAACCAGTAGATAGAAACCTGAGCAAGTAAACTTGAGGTGAGCATAGGAGAGGTCCATCAGCAAATTTTAGGGATGTGGAGATACATGGATAAACTCTAGTGTTGAAAAAATGTTGGTATCTAGCAAAGAACCAAAACAGAAATGGAGATATGGGGCTGGTGAATGGATCAGAAACTTAATGTATTAGTTAACATGGTTTGGATACAGTAGTTCCCTAATTAACATTTTTCCTTTAAACATTCTGGCATTTATTGTTAACTTGGCAAGAAGTCTGGAGTTAAGCATTCCCAAAGACGGCTTGGAGATCAAGACCCAAGAATTTCCCCACACCATCCTCTCCCTCCCCTGCTGCCTTCCTCATATTGGCTTTGGGACCCTGGTTTATTGCTTTTGGGTCGCAAATTGGTTGTGAAAGCTGCAAAAGTCACACCAGCTCACACATGGTCTGAAAGTGAAAGAATGGAGAACAGGCATTGGTCTGTTTCTGTGATCCTCTGCCTTTTAATCATGGGGAAAATATTTCTGAGAAGCTCACAGGAGATGTGCCTTACATCTTATTGCCCAAAATTAAGTCACATACCCACCTCCAGCTGGAAGGAAAATTATAGATGTTTATGTTCCCAGGGACAGGGATATTGGAATTGTTTTGGGGCAACACTAAGCCACTGGAAGTGAGGCACAAGGTCAGGGCAAGGATCTAGCATGAGCTTGACTTCATCCCAGAGCAGTGAAATTGACTGTGGACTCTTTTTTTTATTTTTATTTTTAATCTAGAGACAGATTCTAGGCTAAAATCAAACCCAGAGAAGAGGCTAGATTTCTTTGAGTGAGGAGTAAAGATGACAGGGCCCATTCTGAGAACCTTTGAATGCTAGATAGAGAATTTTTTTCCTTTGTCTATAAATAATGAAGATCTACTGCAAGTGTTTCAAGAAAGGAGTAACAATAAGAAATTTTAAACTAGTAGCAATGGGCAGCCTGGGTGTGAGCAGAGGTTAATCAGTGCCTTCTCCACTAGGGACTTTTTGCCTATGTGTGTACTTTCCTGCACATCCAAAATAAGACAGAAAAATCCACATGATATTCACCCTACAGTCGACAGAATAACCCTCAGGAAAGTTCACAGTGCCTTGGAAGAACACAACGAGCAGGAGTACCTGAAGCTTTCAGACAGAGAGTGTCTGGTTCACTAAGTATAAAGGTTGACCAGTTATGAAGAAACACTTCACATGTAAAGATGGGCTAGGTAAAAGAGATTATAAGTGATTATTCTTCAAATTTAAAAATGATTACGTCACCAAAAAGCACAAATGGATTAATGGAAAAGTTGAAGCTCTGGAATGTGGGAAACATAACATGTCTTAAATAGTAAAATAAAGACAAAAACAGTAGAAAAATTAAGGTATCATCCCTGAAATTCGTATGTCATTTTTAAGCTGAGTCCCTCTTACTTCTCAAGAATAACCACAAGAGAAAAGTTATAAGGACATAGCCAATGAAGAGTTTTATGGTTTTGCCCTCTCTGTCTTCAAGTAGAAAAAAACTGAGCTTAATTATTCTATAATCATTACAATTTTCTCAGTCCTATTGCTCTTTGACCTTACACCAGTTTCTCCCTGGATAACTTAATATTCTCTACCATTTGAAAATCGAATTTCCCATATTGCTTTTATTTAAGAAGGTCACATAGCCATAGATATAATCACCTGATTAAAAAACCTTCAGCTTCAATGTTAAATGTATACTGCTTTTATCTTCTAATGGGATGAGTTTAGATGATCCCAAGCAATATTTTTAAACTGTCACTTAATCTTTTATAGCTAATAAGCTGTTCTACAAGATCATACTGATTATCCACAAGGTTGTGTAACTTATCTTAGAAAATATTTTTTTTCTGCAGTGTAACTGATGTCACCAAAATACGAAAGTCTTTAATATTAGGATAAATTGATATTAATCTTTAAAATAGCGATTTATAATAGGATGCAAACCAAAGTTTAAAAGATACAATCCAGTTTACACTTAGGTAATCAAACAAATATTTCTGAAGCATCATTGCCCATTTCTTCTATTTGTTTTAACTGGTCAGATTTTTTTGCTTTTGATCAAAGGCCATCACATGGTGTTTGACATAAGGAACTGAGTGTGATGAGAAATGTAGAAAAAATTGGCACAACAGTGATTCTTCTAAGCAGGAAACTATGTAACATATCAGAGATGGTAACCTAATAAGAATTTTCATTACTGTGTTGTACTGGACCCGTTTAATAACTTAAACAAATTTAGCTCTGATTTTTAAACAGCAAATAAAAAATGATAGATGCTAAATATTGCATACATATCAGTACTAAAAAGTAAGCAACATCTTTTCCAGGATATTGTTTAAATTTACTTTTACCCCAACTGCTTTTGGATGTGGAAATCATGAGATAAAATTGTTATGAAAGAAATATGGCTCAGATATTTGTTAAATGCTTATTCGCTAGGCTAGAAGAGTCTTTCTTGAATCATGGCTAAAAAGATGGTCTAACAAAGCTCCACAGAGGAGTTTGAGCTTGAGACAGTATGATTTCCAAGACTATTGACTTCTTCATTTCAAAAACTTTCTAATACTCTAAGAAAAATAAGTTTCTTTTTAAAAAAAATCCAACTTCTTGTGTAGAAAATTTTGGTTGACTTTTTACTTGTGAACATTAATGTCTATGCATCATAACAAACAAAGAAAAACTTGTTTGGCTTCAGAAGTCAAAGACTTGTTTTCATCTTGGCTTCAGATATACAAAGTAACTGGGATGTTTGGTAGAGCCAAGGCAGTTTCTTAATCTCTGTCCCAGTACTGAGACTGAGTTATTTAGCCTTAGGTTCACTTTGTATAAACTCATGCCAGAGAAGATCACACACAGCAGGACATTTGCCCCTGGCCTTATCGCTGCAGACACAGGAGTATGATTCTAAACCTTGGGTACCCTTTGCCTCAACTTCCTTTATTTTTCCAAGTCTTCAAGGCAAGGAATTTAGTCCAGCTCCATCATTCCACTTTTTCTCCCCAAACTATAATTACTAACAGTAATAATACACTCAGACTTAATAGTTTTGTGTTGAGCTAGGCAAAGTTTTGATGCATAGCTTTCAGGAAAAATCCCAATTTTTGCCTACACCTCATGAAATGAAGGACTCAACTAAAGAGAACTTTACCTTTCCTCAATTCATAATAGCAACACCAGAAACCTGTTTTGAAATTATTTTGTAAGATTTCCTATTCCACAGAGTATTTATGTCATCCCAATTCTACTCGTTTTATGCAGAATGACATTTTTGGAGTTCCAAATTCTGACAGTATGTGCTACAATTCAGCAATGTACAATTATTGAGTGTGAGGCCTCCCAAAAGCAGCTTGATTGAGGGCACAAACTAGTAATAAACAGGGTGGATCTAAATTGTTTTTCTAATCCCCAGTACAATACACTTTTCACAATTGTTTCCAGTGTCTTTTACTATACCACCATCAATATGGATTCACGCCTAATGATGACATTTATGTTTTTATTTGGCTTGTTATAAAAAACACAATTTTGACCCTATTCTTATGCAACTTAGTAGTCAATTCTCTCAGCTGCAATTAATCATGATCTGAGTAGACACTGCAGTTTTGACAAAGCTGGCAGGAAATGTCACACAGTCGGTAGCCAAGAGGGCCACGTTACAAAAGACAACAAGACAGAAGGCACAATAGCTTAACATTCCAATTTGCCTTTTCTTCCCATCATTCTCACCTCCTGGGGAAGGGAAAGAGAATATTAGAATACTAACAGTATCTTCCATAACTTGATACCCTATATACTGTCATATACAGGTTTCCAATAACTTTAAGATCAATGGACTAAATAAAAATTTTCCAAAACTCTAATAAACGACAGATGGATTTAGGAAGCTGCTGATCAAAATCAAGGAGAACAAAAATCAATTACATGTGATTAAGTACATTGATGAAGGTATTGTTTTTATGACTTTTATTTGAAACATTGTTGGATCATTACTTAAATGTTTTGTTTTCCAGATTTAAGGAAATGTTCTCTCTTTAGCTATCTATAGCTTACAGCAATTTGGTAAAGTATACTTTTTGAACAAAGATGGAAACATTTGCCTTTTCTCCCTAGTTGATCCCTCTGACATTCAGGAACTATTTATGAGTACTGTTATGGCAATATGGATATTTGCATAAGTTCAATAAAAATCTGCTCTCTTTACAACAGAGCACAATTAGAAACATTGGTTATATTACGAAGGCTTTGATTGGAATATAATATTTGAGAATGTACATAGAAAAAGCCTGGCTTCAAAGGTTCCTAGTTTTACAGTGAGTGAGTGAAAGTTGTCACTGCCTAGCAGGTCCAGTAATCTTAAAACAGTAGTTAAAATCGAAAATCTGCCCTGGTTTGGCTTTCTAGCTTCAAAAGGTTTTTGAATCTGAGATTCCTATGTAATCATGTAAAGAAAAAAAGTTACGTTTCTAAAAGTAACACTATTATACACCAGTATTAGATTATAGGCCTGTGCATTAGTTTCAAGTTCTTGTTATCTACCTATTGACTAGACTAAATCCTAAATTCTTCTAGCTTCCTCCTATCCAAGTTTCTTCCATGGAATTATTAAAAATAGGAACTGCTCTGTTTCTAAAGCCCTATCACCTTAAGTTAGTTTTAAAGAACAAGTCTTATGCATGATGTACAAGCCACACAGAAAGTTCATCAGGCTGTTTGGTTCCATAACCAGCGACATTCAGACTGCAAACCAGGACAAGAAGTTGATGACTTCACGATGCAGGCAGCTTTTCTCAAGACGTAGAGTAAGACTCCATACCAAAATAAGACTCTTACCCCTTGTAATGTTACCTTTTCAATGACAGAATAATGGTATTATTAAAATTTTATAATCTGTAGCTTCTGCTGGTAACTCGACAGAATCTGACCTAAGAGATCCGCTACTTCACGTGTCACGTGAAGGATATCTTGGCAAAGGATATCAGAATCTGACTTAAGAGATCCTCTACTACAATTTGGAGTAACTCCCTCAATATGCACATAATTTACTATGATGTGCATATTCCCATTGCAATGTCCCATTCCTGAACAAACATCACTTTCTTTTAGAGAACCTCTCTCTTTTTGTTATGTAGGTTGACTATATATTCTTACTTTAGGTTATATG
The DNA here is from genome assembly GCF_000001405.40 of Homo sapiens. Classification (NCBI taxonomy): domain Eukaryota; kingdom Metazoa; phylum Chordata; class Mammalia; order Primates; family Hominidae; genus Homo; species Homo sapiens. Next base: position 74,782,200 of record NC_000013.11, read on the forward strand.
GGCTCCAGGTTTATTTTTAAGTCTACTGGATAAAGACTATATAATCTCCCTTAGAAACCTAGAGTGGAAATATTTTAAGGAAAGCAAATGTAAGAAAAATTAGCTGCCACTCCAGGCGGAATTCTCTAGGTTAAATCTAACTGGTGCTACAGCAAATTAATTTCCAGCTACTTGCTCCACTGTATCTTCCTGATGAAAACACGTCCCTTCCTGGTTTGCCCAAAAGCCTTCATTCATGCATCAACTTTGTCCATGAACCTTTGATTCCTCTTGTTCTCTAGACCCTCCTTTTAGTGTCTGCTTGTTCTTCCAAAATTAACTTTAATACCCTCAAACTATTTTGAATATAGTTAATCACTTTTGGACTCTGTTTTGAGGGGTTGTATTCTGTATTTCTTTTCACCTAATCTCTACAATATTCCTCCCTATAGCTGACACATGATTAGCTTCCAGCCACAAATGGGGACTTTACTTTTTTTTTTTTTTTTGAGACGGAGTCTTGTTCTATCACCAGGCTGGAGTGCAGTGGCACGATCTCGGCTCACTGCAACCTCCTCTTCCCGGGTTCAACCGATTCTCCTGCCTCAGCCTCCCAAGTAGCTGGGACTACAGGCACATGGCACCATGCCCAGAGATATTTTTTGTAGTGTTTTAGTAGAGACGGAGTTTAGTAGAGACGGAGTCTTGATCTCTTGACCTCGAGATCCACCCTCCTCGCCCTCTCAAAGTGCTGAGATTACAGGCGTGAGCCACTGCGCCTGGCTGGGAATTTACATTTTGATTTGTGCAGACACAAGGAAAACAGAGCCAAATGTTCCTTGCCTTAGTTTAGTAATCCTTTTATAGTTACCTATATGCATCACGACAATTTCTAAAATAAGCTAATGTTAACTTTGTTATCATAAAACCAATGCCCTATAAAGTGAAGCATAATTAGTGCTTCATCTGTATGAGATAAATATTATATATTGAAATATTGAACAAATTTGCTCTAGCTTTACAATGTAAATGATAAGCTATTCTTTGCCTTTTAATTGTGCCACAGGTATGGAACAAAGAAACAGTCGTAGAAACACAGAATCAATCTTAACTCTACAAAAAAGGATAGTCCACTGGGATTTCTACCAAGGAGAACCATCCCATGCAATTTCCTTGTACAATGACCCATTCGTTGCTTTGTATGAAAACACTGTCCAGAGGAAAACTTTTCATTTTCCAACTTGGGTCCAGTGTTTGGAAGCTTGCAAATTAACTGACAATAGATTAAAAGAAGATACGCCGAGCGTGGCGGCTCATACCTGTAATCCCAGCACTTTGAAAGGCCAAGGTGGAAGGATTGCATGAGCCCAGGAGTTTGAGACCAGCCTGGGAAACACAGTAATACCCTGTCTCTACAAAAAAAAAATTTTTTTTTAATATTAGCTGGGCATAGTGGTGTGTGCCTGTAGTCCCAGCTACTCAGGGACTGAGGTGGGAGGATCACTTCAGCCTGAGAGTTTGATAGATCAAGGCTGCAATAAGCTGTGTTTGTGTCACTGCACTCCAGCCTGGGCCATACAGTGGGACACTATCTCCAAAAAGAAAAAGAAAGATAAAGAAAAGAAAGGAGAATAGACAAGGTTTATTTATACAGACTCAGTGATGAGTAACTCACTGAATAGCCAGAGATAAAGGATTTATATTCCACATTTGACAAAATGTGGAGGCAGGGAAGGGAGGGAGGGCTTCCATGGAAGACATGGAGGGTTCTATTGGGCTTTTGATGCTAAGGAAAATGGGAAGTCTGTCTCCACAGCAGCTGAATTCTCAGAAAACTCCCTTGGAGGGGAGTACAGAGCAGCAACATTTTCTGAAAGTGCTGCATTGGCCCAATAAAAGAAGTTCAGTTATGATTTCTTTCTGTATCTTACTTAGCTCAAATATTTTCACTTGAAAATTATTTTTATACTGACTCTGGAGGTCCAAGTGGGTCCCACAAAACTATTACTGTTTTCAAATGCACATAACTGAAAGAGCAGGGCACAATGGGTAATGAACATTCATTGACCTTCATGAGTTTCTACATTATAAACACAGATTTATCCTCATGGTTTGACTGATGACCCTGTTTAAACCACATTGTGAGATGGGAGTGGGGGTAGAGGAATCTCACAGCACTAGCAAGTATGGAAAAGGAATATAACTTCACCAACAATACTACAAAAACTCACAATGGATGAGGGTGGAGTCACATTTCATATTTATCTCTCCATAAATTTGATTGACATACTCATGCTACACCACCTATCCAGTCTGAATTCTGCCACTCTTTGGCTTTTCTCCTTCAAGGACATTTTAATTGGATATAAACTATTTGGAAGTTGGAGAAGCACACAATTGTTCTACATATCTCCCTGTAGAAGGGAAATATGATTTAATGTTTTTCAAAGGAATGAATTACTAAATTCTTCTCATAAACTTTTAGATGGGATTCTCAGGGAAACAAAATGACTTTCCTGAGTAAAATGTTTTTTAAATTCCTTGCTGAAAAAAAATTTCGTAAATAAATTATATCTTTCAATATTTGTTTTTAAGTAAAAGCAAATGATTACTAGTTTCTGGATTTTTAAAGTAGACACAATTTGAATCTACAGTGCGTGTAAGCATGAGCCTAAACACATAGTCTCCAGCATTTTTGTGCAGCCACTTTTATCATGTGTGAAAAAACACTTTGCCTGGATCAAAAATCATAGCTCATTTATTAAAAATCTCCATTGAAACCACACCCATAAAAAGTATTAATAGATATCCCTTGGCTCTTGAGCATGCCTCCAAGACAGTTTTAATGATTTATAATGCCCTGAGAGACTGAGGTCTATATATGAAATCTTAATTCCTGCTCTGAGCCTTACAGATTTTATCCAAGAACTAATAGTGTTAGTATAAACATACCCTAAAGGGTCAGACTTGCTAATGCACATTTAATTCTTTCCATGGAAGACCATCTCCCTTGAGAAAACTGTCTAATCATAAAAGTAACAGAGATTTGCAGCAAGAGCCTGACACTGAATATAGAATAAGTAAAGAAGGAGATAGCTGGGTTTGATCACAGCCCTTAACAAAATCCCTTTACCGCTGGGATTTTTGGTTAACTAAAGCTCATCGCTTCTAATCGGGAGAAATGCAGAAGGCCCTGAGGCCCAAATAGGAGAAAGTTATGTGGCCAACATGGTAAATACATTTCTAAAAGGAGAAATGTCATTACTTAGGGAAAGAACTAGTAAGATGTTACTGCTCACCAAAATTCCAATGTCTTAGAAAGAAACCGTCATTATTGTTTATATTCTCTGAGGGCATCCTCTCTTCTAGGCTTCATGTAAAAGGAAATATAAACTACTTTAGCAGCATAATTCAATCGTTCTACATTGTACCCTTTTTATTGCAGGGAAACAGCATTCCTCAGGAGCTTTGTAACATGGTCTCTAACCATATTTGCTGATTTATTAGGACAGTAACAAATAGTTATTCTGAATAAAAATCTCACTAGAGTATCAAAGCTTGTTGGAAATTATGATGAGTGAGAAATGCAAATTTTTTTGTCATTTATTTGGTTTTTTTTTTTTTTGAGACAGAGTCTCTTTCTATTGCCTAGTCTGGAGTGCAGTGGCACGATCTCGGCTCACTGCAACCTCCACCTCCCAGGTTCAAGAGATTCTCGTGCTTCAGCCTCCTGACTAGCTGGGATTACAGTCATGTGCCACCACGCCCAGCTAATGTTTTTGTATTTTTAGTAGAGATGGGGTTTCACCATGTTGGTCAGGTTGGTCTCAAACTCCTGGCCTCAAGTGATCCTCTCACCTTGGCCTCCCAAAGTGCTGGCATTACAGGCTTGAGCCACTGCACCCGGCCAATGCTAATTTGTTGTTGGCAAGTGACACTTTTTAGAAGTTTTGTCTTAACAGTGGGTGCTAAATTAGCCTCAGCATTAGCAATTTTTGATTTTCAGTGTATTTTTTTCCTATCTGCAGATACTGATGAAGGATAAAAATTGTTGCACATAGTGATGCTTATTCATTTCAGAGAGATAGCATTGCCATAATCACAAGCTTGGATTTACACTAATGAAGGGACTCTCTGTCCAAGCTTGTGTAAGTGAAATTACCTGGGTGTGTCTTTTATTCCTCCTCCTTTTCCTAAAATGGCTGCAATGCTCTTTCCTGGGAACTTTGGTTCACATTTGAAAGGAGACTCCATGGAAAATGTGTTAGTTATCCCAACTTTTACTCCTACTGAGCTTTGAATCACTTAACGCACAATTCAGGTAACCAATGTATTCATGACCACCAATATGATAGCTGGTTGTATAATAGAAAACTTTCAAAATGATTATATAGAACAAAGCATAAACTGTTCCATCTGAAAATAAACTTTAGCTGGTCATGGTATTTCATGTCTGTAGTCCCAGCATTTTGGGGGCCATGGCAGGAGTATTGCTTGAGTCCAGGAGTTCAAGACCAGCCTGGGAAATACAAAAAGTTTAAAAATTAGCTAGGTGTGGTGGTGCACTCCCAGCTATTCGGGAGGCTGAGGTGGGAGGATTGCTTGAGCCCAGGAAGTCAAGGCTGCAATGAATACTGATTGCGCCACTGCACTCTAGCTTGGGCAAGAGAGTATGACCCTGTCTCAGAAAGGGAAGGAAGGAAAGAAGGAAGGAGGGAAGGAAGGAAGGAAGGGAGGGAGGGAACATTTTATCAAAGTGTACTGCTGGCATGTGAGGAGCTTGTTCTTGTTGAGGTTAGCAAGTTCAATAAATAGTTCTGTTCTTTAGCACACTCTTATTACTCATTTCTTTAACATTTACCTCTCCAAAGTAGTTAATTACTTATCAAGTAATTAATTTATTTAGTAAATTAAACAATTACAATTACAACAATTGCTTAACACTAACTAAAAATTTATATGGATGGATAGCTTCAGAATCCTGTCTTACTGGAAACAAAATTAGCCTGTTTTTTGGAAACCTGTCTCCCTGCTATAGCTGTAGAGGTTATCACTGGCCCCAGTGAAGTATGTACCACTGAAACACGGCACATCCACATCCCAGCTACAGTCACCTCATCCTGCCAAGTGCATCGCAAACCAAAGGACAAACTCATGGTCATCTATATCTAAGACATTGTATTCTTCTGCCCACTACTTATTAGGTCTGTGGTATCTCAGACCTAGCAGGGGAGCTTGCCTAAGTGCATGGCTTCAGGGATTTTATACCATTGATTCATTTAGTCATAGTTTGCAGTCGGTAGATATTCTTTTAACTGTTTTAAATTAGGATATGCTAGTGTCTTCTGCATCATATCAGCTGATTACTTTTGCACAGGAAAAGATTCACCTTGGGTCCCAATAAACTAGCCAATAACCCAACAATCAGGTAATCCCCGTTTCTCTGAGGTGCAACACAAATTTTAATTCACAAATTCTATTTGGTTTAGGAGAACTGAAACAGACTGGTGTGTTTATTCTCCAGTGTTCACTTTGTTTCTGTCAAAGGTAATGCATTTTTAATATACTATTAAATGTTATAATAAAAAATACATAGGCATCTAATTCTGAACTTTCCTACTGCTGAGTGAATTCTAAGTTTATTTTAATAGCTATTATACTGAGTGTAGTTATAATACTAAAGAATTATCCTATTGAAGATTACCAAATAATCTGTTCTCTTTGATAGAGGAGTTACCCCAAAGTAGACATTTACATTTAATTATTTCTGTACCTAACATTAAAAACTGTACCACTTGAAAAGAATAAGCTAAATTTTAGCTTTATCTGATGCAAAAAAAATGAGAAAATAGAGACTTTGATACATAATTGCACATATTTATGGAATATATGTGATATGTTGATACATGCATACAATGTATAATAAAAAATCCAGTGTTGTGAGAAAAACTTGGGACTATAATGTCTTCCACAAACTGGGAGGGAAACAAGAGAACAAAGAATGACTAAAGCAAGTCCAGTTTGACAAATAGATGAGTTTATTAGTGCTTACATACAGGGAACTCCTGGACAGCTACAGGAGAGCACTGGATATCTGTCCTACCTCCTGTCTCTAAACTGCTTTTAAGGTAATTTTTTGGCTCTTTTGCTACTGTGTTTGAGCAATAAGACTATTTTTCTTGGTAGGTTCTCAGATACTCTCTGGGATGTTTGGGTTCTCAGAGACACTGGCTCCTTGGCTGGGAACCATGGCCTTGGCTTATTGCCTAGCTGCCAAGGGTTCAAGCAGCAGACATAACCCACTTAAGTAACCTGGTGGGGGATCTGTCACGATAAATCTGGGAAATTTAAGATATCCATCACCTCAAACGTTATTTTTTCTAGATTTTATATTTGTTCACGGTCTGATGGGCGGCACTGACATGGATACATGTGAGTATACAGTAAGTGCTCACTGAATTTCTCTTGAGTGATAAGCTAGGATACAAGGTATCAGAAAAAAAGGAGTAAGGATGGGCATTGGATACAGATGTCAGGGAAGTCTGAATGTCTTTTGCTGGTTAAAAGAACAGGATACTTTTTATTTTCATTCTAAACCATGCCTGATCCTTGCCCCCTATATCAATGTATCACTTCCTTGATGGCCCCTCAAACATGACTTCTTTGAAGTTGAGGGTCATTGACAAAGGCTCCTTGGAAGTGCACCGTGGCTACTAAAATTTCTGTCTGTGCTTTGTGCCTGGGTATCAGTACACGTGTCAACTGAGGTTTTCTTATTATTTAAATTTCTTCCTTCATCTGATTAATAAAACAATGCATACATGTACTTCATGCATATATAACATACCTTTTTACATTTCTCTTTACTTTTCAAACATTTTTTTTATTTCAGTAGGTTTTTGGGGAACAGGTGGTGTTTAGTTACATAAATAAGTTCTTCAGTGGTGATATTTGAGATTTTGGGGCACCCATCACCCGAGCAGTATACACTGTACCTAATGTGTAGTCTTTTATTCCTTGCCAACCCCCATTCCTTCCCCCGAGTCCCCCAAGTCCAATGTTTCATTCTTATACCTTTGTGTCCTCATAGCCTAGCTCCCACTTGTGAGTGAGAACATATGTTTGGTTTTTCATTCCTGAGTTACTTCATTTACAATAATAGTGTCCAAATCCATTCAAGTTGCTGCATATATATATATATATATATATATATATATATACACACACACACACATATATATACACATATATACATATATATATGTGTATATATATATATGTGTGTATATATATATATGTTCTTTGTCCACTCATTGATTGCTGAACACTTGGGCTGGTTCCATATTTTTGCAATTGCAAATTAAGCTGCTATAAACATGCATGTGAAGTATCTTTTTTGTATAATGACTTCTTTTCCTCTGGGTAGATACCTAGTAGTGGGATTGCTGGATCAAACAGCAGATCTACTTTTAGTTCTTTAAGGAATCCCCAGTGTTTTCTGCAGTGATTGCACTAGTTCACATTCTCACCAACAGTGTAAAAGTATTTCCTTTTCACTACATCCCCTCAAATATCAATTATGTTTTGATTTTTTTATTATGGCCATTCTTGCAAGAGTGAGGTGGTATCACATTGTGGTTTTGATTTGCATTTCCCTGATAATTACTGATGTTGAGCATTTTTCCATTTGCTTGTTGGCCATTTGTATATCTTCTTTTGATAACTGTCTATTCATTTATTTAGCCCACTTTTTGATGGGGTTATTTATTTCTTGCTGATTTGAGTTATTTGTAGATTCTGGATATTAGTCCCTTGTCAGATGTATACATTGCGAAGATTTTCTCACACTCTGTGGCTTGTCTGTTAACTCTGCTGATTATTTCTTTTGCTGTGCAGAAACTTTCTAGTTTAATTAAGTGTCCCATCTATTTATCTTTGATTTGTTGTATTTGCTTTTGGGTTCTTGGTCATGAAGTCTTTGCCTAAGCCAATATCTGGAAGGATTTTTCTGATGTTATCTTCTAGAATAGTTATGGTTCCAGGTCTTAGATTTAAGCCGTTGATTCATCTTGAGTTGATTTTTGTATAAAGTGAAAGATGAGGATCCAGTTTCATTCTTCTGCATGTGGCTTGCCAATTATCCCCCGACCATTTGTTGAATAGGGTGTCCTTTCCCCACTTTATGTTTTTGTTTGCTTTGTTGAAGATCATTTGGCTGTAAGTATTTGGCTTTATTTCTGAGTTCTCTATGGTGTTCCATTGGTCTATGTGCCTGTTTTTATACCAGTACCATGCCATTTTAGTGACTATGGCCTTATAGTATAGTTTAAAGTCGGGTAATGTGATGTCTCCAGATTTGTTCACTTTGCTTAGTCTTACTGTGGATATATAAGCTCTTTTTTGGTGCCATATGAATTTTAGGATTGTTTTTTCAAGTTCTGTGAAGAATGATGGTGGTATTTGGATGGGAATTGCATTGAATTTGTAGATTGCTTTTGGTGATATGGTCATTTTCACAATATTGATTCTACCCATCCATGGGCATGCATGGGATGTGTTTCCATTTGTTTGTGTTGTCTATGATTTCCTTCAGCAGTGTTTTGTAGTTTTACTTGTAGAGGTCTTTCACCTCCTTGGTTAGGTATATTCCTAAGTATTTAAATTTTTTGCAGCTATTGTGAAAGGGATTGAGTTCTTGATTTGATTCTCAGCTTGGTCACTGTTGGTATATAGCAGAGCTACTAATTTGTGTATATTAATTTTGTATCCTGAGAGTTTACTGAATGCATTTACCAGTTCTAGGGGCTTTTTGGCTGAGGTTTTAGGGTTTACTAGGTGTATGATCGTATCATCAGCAAACAGTGACTTTTGACTTCCTCTTTACCGATTTAGATGCCCTTTATTTCTTTCTCTTGTCTGATTGCTCTGGCTAGGACTTCCAGTACTGTGTTAAATAGAAATGCTGAAAGTGGACATCTTTGTCTTGTTCCAGTTCTCAGGAGGAATGCTTTCGACTTTTCACCTCTCAGTTCAATGTTGGCTGTGGGTTTGTCATAGATGGCTTTTATTACCTTAAGGTATGTCCCTTGTATGCCGATTTTGCTGAGGGTTTTAATCATAAAGGATGCTGGATTTTTTCAAATGCTTTTTCTGAGTCTATTGAGACGGTCATGGGATTTTTGTTTTTAATTCTGTTTATGTGGTATATCACATTCATTGACTTACGTATGTTAAACCATCCCTGTATAACTGGTATGAAACCCACTGGATCATGGTGGATTATCTTTTTGATATGTTGTTGGATTTTGTTCACTAGTATTTTGTTGAGGATTTTGGCATCTATGTTCATCAGGGATATTGGTCTGTAGTTTGTTTTGCTGTTGTTGTTATTGTTCCGTCTTTCCCTGGTTTTGGTATTAGGGTGTTACTGGCTTCATAGAATGATTTAGGGAGGATTTCCTCTTTCTGTATTTTTTGGAATAGTGTCAATAGGATTGATACCCATTCTTTTTTGAACATCTGATTAGAATTCAGGTGTAAATCTGTCTGGTCCTGGACATTTTTGGTTGCCAATTTTTTTTATTACCATTTCAATCTCACTGCTTGTTATTAGTCTGTTCAGAGGTTGTATATCTTCCTGGTTTAATCTAGGAGGGTTGTATATTTCCTGGAATTTATCCATCTCCTCTAGATTTTCTAGTTTATGTGCATAAAGGTATTCATAGTAGCCTTGAATAATCTTTTGTTTTTTTATCAGTTGTAATATCTCCCATTTAGTTACTAATTGAGCTTATTTGGATCTGCTCTCTTCTTTTCTTGGTTAATCTTGCTAATGGTCTATTTAGTTATCTTTTCAAAGAAACAGCTTTTTGTTTCATTTATCTTTTGTATTGTTTCCTTTTTGTTTGTTTGTTTCATTTAGTTCTGCTCCAATCTTCGTTATTTCTTTTCTTCTGCTGGGATTGGGTTTTGATTGTTCTTGTTTCTCCAGTTCCATGAGGTGTGACCTTAGGTTGTCTATTTGTACCCTTTCAGACATTTGATGTAGGCATTTAATGCTATGAACTTTCCTCTTAGCATTGCTTTTGCTTTATCCCAGTGGTTTTGATAGGTTGTGTCACTATTATCATTGAGTTCAAAGAATTTTAAATTTCCATCTTGATTTCATTGCTGACCCAACGATCATTCAGGAGTAGGGTTATTTAATTTTCATGTATTTTCATGGTTTTAGGGGTTCCTTTTGGAGTTGATTTCCAATTTTATTTCACTGTGATCTGAGAGAGTACTTAACATAATCTCTATTTTCTTAAATTTACTGAGACTTGTTTTGTGGCCTATCATATGGTCTATCTTGGAGAATGTTCCATGTGCTGATGAATAGAATTAATATTCTGCAGTTGGTGGGTAGAATGTTCTGTAAATATCTTGTTGAGTCCATTTGTTGTAGGGTATAGTTTAAGTCCATTGTTTCTTTGTTGACGTTCTGTCTTGATGACCTGTCTAGTGCTGTCAGTGGAGGACTAAACTTTCCCACTGTTATTTCGTTGCCATCTATCTCATTTTTTAGGTCTAGTACTAATTGTTTTATAAATTTGGGAGCTCCAGTGTTAGACGCTTATGTATTTAGGATTGTGATATTTTCCTGTTGGACTAGTCCTTTTATCATCATATAATGTCCCTCTTTGTCTTTTTTAACTGCTGTTGCTTTAAAGTTTGTTTTGTCTGATATAAGAATAGCTACCCCAGTCCCTTCTAGCTTGTAGGGTTTCTAATGAGATATCTGCTGTTACTCTGATAGGTTTTCTTTTATAGGTTACCTGATGCTTTTGACTCACAACTCTTAAGATTCTTTCCTTTGTCTTGACTTTAGATAACCTGATGACTGTGTGCCTGGGCAATGATCTTTTTGAGATGAATTTCCCAGGCATTCTCTGAGCTTCTTGTATTTGGATGTTTAGATCTCTAGCAAGGCCAGGGAAGTTTTCCTCCATTATTCCCTCAAATATGTTTTCCAGACTTTTAGATTTCCCTTCTCCCTCAGGAACACCAATTATTCTTAGGTTTGGAATGTTTAACACAGTCCCAAGCTTCTTGGAGGCTTTATTCTTTTTTTCATTATTTTTTCTTCATCTTTGATGGATTGGGTTAATTCAAAAGCCTTCTCTTCAAGCTCTGAAGTTTTTCCTTCTGCTTGTTTGATTCTATTGCTGAGACTTTCCAGTGCATTTTGCATTTCTCTAAGTGTGTCCTTGATTTCCAGAAATTGTGATTGTTTTTTATTTATGCTATCTATTTCACTGAAAAATTTTCCTTTCATATCCCATATCAGGTTTTATATTTCTTTAAGTTGAACTTCACCTATCTCTGGTGCCTCCTTGATTAGCTTAATAGTCAACCTTCTGAATTTTTTTTTTTCTGGCAATTCAGAGATTTCATCTTGGTTTAGATCCATTGCTGGTAAGCTGATATGATCTTCTAGTGGTGTTAAAGAACCTTGTTTTGTTATATTACCAGAATTGTTTTTCTGGTTCCTTCTCATTTTGGTAGACTAAGTCAGAGGGAAGATCTGGGATTCAAGGGCTGCTGTTCAGATTCTTTTGTTCCATGAGATGCTCCCTTGATGTGGTGTTCTCACCCATACCCTAGGAATGGTGCTTCCTAAGAGCCGAACTGTAGTGATTGTTTCTGCTCTTCTGGGTCTAGCCACCCAGTGGAGCTACCCTGCTCTAGGCTGGTACTGGGGAGTGTCTACAAAGAGTCCTGTGGTGTGATCCATCTTCAGGTCTTGCAGCCACGGATACCAGCACCTGCTCCAGTGGAGGTAGCAGGGGAGTGAAGTGAAGTGACTCTGTGTGGGTCCTTGGTTGTGTTTTTGTTTAGTGCACTACTTTTGTGTTGGTTTGGCCTCCAGCCAGGAGGTGGCACTTTCAAGAATGCATCAGCTGCAGTCCTATAGGGAGGATGCAAACTTGCTCTAGGGACACCTGGTTAAGTATTCAGGTTTCTCAGGTGGTAGGCAGGGCTGTAGAGCTCCCATGAGATTGTGACCTTTGTCTTTGGCTACCAGGATGGGTAGAGAAAGACCACCAGATGGAGGCAGGGATACGTGTGTCTGAGCTCAGCTTGCCCTTGGGTGGGGCTTGCTGCAGCTGCTGTGGGGAATGGGGATGTGGTTCCCAGTCTGATGGGCTTATGTTCCCAGGGGGATTATGGCTGCCTCTGCTGAGTCATACAGGTTGCCAGGGAAGTGGGGGAAAGCCAGCAGTCACAGACCTCACCCCGATCCCATGTAGCCCGCAGTCCTAAAGGCCACTCTCACTCCCACCGTGCCTCTCCAATGGCATGGAGTCTATTTCCAGGCAGCCGGTGACCAGGGCTGAGAACTTTCCCCAGACCATGAGCCTCCCCATTGAGAAAGCAAACAGACTCACAGTTTTTCAGCATCTCAGGGAGCCTGCAGCATTGATCCATTTCCTTCAAAAGATCTGTGTATTCTCTCATCTTTCCTGATATGTTCCCGCAGTAGTTCTTCGAGCAAAAGTTCACCATGTGAGTCTCTATACACTCCTGCCTGTCTGAGCAGAAGCTGCAAGCTAGTCCTGCCTCCTATTGGCCATTTTAATCCCTCAAACATTTATCATTTCTTTGTGTTAGGGACATTCTAAATCTTCTCATCTAGTGACTTTTTGACTGGCATATTGATTTGGGCAATTCCGCATTTAACTCAGTTTTATCCTGGAGAGAGCAGAGTTGATTCATAGGAATCAGCTGTTAAATACTTCCTAAAAATTTACCCAGTAACTTGGGAGGTAGACGGGCCTCATCCCTAATTAAATCACTGTTCTTCAGGGATCTATACTCATATTTTCAGGCAAAGCAGCCCTATGTGGGTCACTGATTGGTCTTTGGTCTCTTATGCTGCAACTCTCAACCCCTGTAGAAGAATGCCACACAGTCATTGGCTATGAATTCAAAGTGAGGAAAGCAAGGTCCCTCTTTCAACAGGGAGGGAACTTCAGAAACTTTTTTTTTTAATCTCTAATCCCCAGTCTTCTTAGTTTATGTTTCCAAAGATGCAGAAGATATTGAGTGAAGGAAAAAAGTACTTATTGTAAAATAATAATTTGGTGCTTAAATGAGAAAAAATATGTTTGTGTTAATTTTGTTGTCATTGTTGCTAAAAAAAAACACCCCATTTGTCCAAAGCAAACTTCTAGGAGCACAGCTAAGTATCACAGCATAAAATAAAAATCAAGATAAAGTTTGGCTAGAAAGAAATGCTGATAGATATTCATGTAAAACAAGAGAGTTTTCATTTTAGAGATGAACAGATAACACTGTAAAATAAGTAATTGTGTGTCTATTATTTAAGTTTGAAATCCAGCTGCCAGGGGCTATCATTAATTCTTGTTCCAAGCAAACATATCTTTTTCTTCTTTTCAAAAGATTCTTTGTTTAATATCTCTGGAACTTTTGTTTCATTTTTTAAAGTCTTCTACCTCAGTTGCTAATGGACAAGGTTTCCCTTTGTCTTTGGCTAGATATTTCTTTCTTAGAGACAAAGAGAAACAATGGTGCTTTTATCTATTTCTACTGGGGATGAATAGGGCCTGGTTATCTAAAATCCATGCCTATGACCAAGCAGCAAGAGGCAATGTGATTATAGCAAAGAGATGAACAAAAACACAGCAAGAATAATGCAGAATTAAAAATATTTTAAGTTATTAGCAATTTTCATAAAAATAGGTGAAACTGACTTTGCCAAGTTATGACAGTAAAAGAAATATGATGTAGTTTACTCTATTTTGCTTCTGACATGCAAGCTGTCCTTGGTCATACCTAGGAATAGGTCAATCTAACTTTGGGAAGAATTTAGTTTATAGTTTAACTTGAAAGCAAGGATGATAATAGTTTCTCCCTAAAATGAATCCCCTCCTTGCTCAGGGACTGAAAACATCTTTGTAAGACTAATGAAAGGCCACAAGAATAAATTATGAGAGGGGTTGAACTCTGTTAAAATGTAGGTTTAGTTTCTATAATCCCTTACTGCTCAGGACACATGAGCCAAGAGGCCAGAGGTCACAAGATGGGTGTCGTTTCTATAACTCTGTACTGCTCAGGAATCATGTGGCCAGCAGTCACAAGATTTGTGACTTTTCCAATTGCTTCTATAGATAATGTCACTATTGTAGAATTTAAGATTGGTTTTTGACATGTTTCTCAGATCTATCCCACCCGGGCTTGTGACTAATGGTCCAGCTGGTCCTGTGGCCCCACCCAGAGGCAGACTCAGTGCATGAGGACCATTTTCTACAACCCTATGATATAATTCCCCAACCAAGCAGTAGCACCCATTCCCTAGCCCACTGCCCACCAAAAATTGTCCATAAAAACCCTAACCTCCAAGACTTCAGGGAGACTAATTCAAGTGATAACCCTAGTTCTCCTGCATGTCCCAGCCTCGTGACAATAAAACTTTTTCTACTGCAATATTGTGGTCTCAGTGAACTGGTTTGGTCTGTGCAGTGGGCAGAAAGAACATGTTGGGTGATTGATTACACAGATATTAAGGAGAGAGAACAACTGGGCTGAAATTGCTTAGTAATCATCCATTCAGTCCTTCATTATTTATTTTCAAGAATGCATGGCATGTAAATATATAAAATTCTGTTAAGAATTTAATGAAAAAAATCACCAAATATGATTTTCTCTCTATCTGTGTGTGTGTGTGTGTGTGTGGTGTGTGTGTGTCTGTGTGTGTGTACACAAATATACATATGTAGTAGATAGGGGACAGGGAGAAAGGCAGATTCTAGAGATTCTAGGCAGGAAAGGAAGGAGGTTGCAAGCAAACTTGAAAGTTATATTTTAATATCTCCAGAAATTAGGGCAATAAAGCTGGGTGCGGTGGCTCATGACTACAATCCCAGCACTTTGGGAGGCTGAGGTGTAAGGATCTCTTGATCCAGGAGTTTGAGATCAACCTGATCAACATAGCAAGACCTCATTTCTATAAAAGAAGCATATATATTAGCTGGGGATGATAGTGCAAACCTGTGATCCCAGTTACTTAGGAGTTTGAAGTGGGAGAACCAGTTAAGCCCAGTTGGTCAGGGCTGCAGTGAGTTGTCATCATGCCACTGCCCTCCAGCCTGGGCAACAGCGTGAGACCCTGTCTCAAATAATAATAATAATAATAATAATAATAATAATAATAATAATAATAATAACAATTATATTGGATCCTCATATATTTTTATTTAACTAAAGTATTTACAGCCTTTAGGAATAAAAATTATAGATATTTCCTCAGAGATCAAATTTATAGAAATGATATTTGACAGATTTGCTAATATAAATAGGATTGAATAGTTTAGCAAATAAAAATGTAGGACACCAGTTAAGTTTGAATTTCAGAAAAACTTCAAATAATTTTTGTATAAGTATATTTCAAATATTGCATGGGACATACTGAAAAGACTGCAAAGCAGTTGTGTTTGCTTAAAACAAAAACTAAGGTTGACTCTTGGCAGCTGAAATTTGTATTTCTACAGTAGACACACAATTACTTATCCTGTCTGCTCGTTTTTTTAAATAAAAACTCCTCTATTTTATACAAATATTTTTAGCATGGAACATACTTATATTTTAAAATTATTTGTTATTTATCTAAAATTCAAATTTAACTGGGCATCCTGTATTTTGTCTTGGCAACATTAGAAAATGCTACACTTACTTTAAATATCAGGAACGTTTAACATTTTAAAAAACAACCAATCCAAATGTTGTATAATTTGAAGTATTTAACACTCAAAAGAGGGAGTGTTATCCTAAGAGGTTGATAGAAGCCTTTTTCATTATATCTGAATTTTAATCCTGTTCCAACCCAAAGGACCTAATCTCAATTTTGTAAATGTATTTTTTAACCTTGAAATTTGCAGATCTAGGAGAGTAAAAAAGTTCTTAATATCCTTGGAATATCTGTGTTTCTCTCTCCACAATGTTTCGCATCATCCTAACATGTCGTTACCTAAGACAATCAACCCAGTCTATCTTCTGTCGCTTTCTCTCTGCCTAGTTGTGCATGGTTCTCTGGGCTGTTTCAGGGTGGCTCCAGGGTTTGCAGACCAACCCTGAAGTCTGTTAGTTGCACTCTGTGAATTTTTCAGATCAACGGTGACAAGAAATATTTATAAAAGTGGCTGAAATACTTATACAAGGGTTTAAATTTCCCTGATTCTCGGTAATATGACTATAAATTTCTTTGTATTTTAGGCTCACAATTATGCAGCCCACTACACTTTTCTAACGGCTCTTTTTTTTAAAAAAAAGGTAGTTTTAGTTTCATAGCAAAGGTGAGAGGAAGGTGTAGGGATATCCCCAATGTATACTCTTTTATTGGTTGTCATCTCATGAATCCACATATTTAGCCGCTTTCCATAACTTTATCACACACCATAGATGTTACCTTAGTCCTTTCCAGGGCAGCCTTATGTATAGATTGGTAAAATTCCTCTTCCTTTTTCTGGATGTACTATATTCCTGATTCATTACCATTAAAGTCATGGCCAAAGCACTATTTCAGTGTAGGTATATAGTCACCTAATAATAATGTATGTTTATTACTGATAGCTATTGTACTCAGCGTACTATGTGCCAAACATTTCAAGTATTTTAAATGTTTGAAGTCACTCCTACATAAAGTATGTATTATCATCTTACCTTTGCAGAAGAGGAAACTAAGAAAAAAAGTTATACAGCTAGTTACTGTGGATTTGTCAATTTCTCTTTTTATGTTAGTCAAGGTTTGTTTTGTATATTTTCCAGCTATATTTAAGGAGCATACATGTTTAGAATTATTATGGTCATTTAGTACATATATAGAAATATTTAATATTATATTCACCCCCTTTATCTCTAATGATTTTTCTTTGCCTGAAAACTTACTTGAATTTATAAGAGTTATTTATACATTCTGGAGACAAGTCCTTTGTCAGGGATGTGTATTATAAATATTCCTTACCACTTACGTGACTTATCTTCTCAGTTTCTTAAAGATGTCTTGATGAGCAGAAATTTTAAATTTTGATAAAGTTCAGTTTATAATGTTTCTTTCTTCTTAGAGTCAGTGCTTTCCAAGTCCTGTCTAAGAAACTTTCGTCCACCTCAAGATCAAGAATATCTTCTCCTGTGTTTTTTTCTACAATTTTCACTGTTTTAGCTTTTTATTTAGGTTTATTATCCATCCTGGAATTATTTTGTGTATCATATAAGTTGCTTTTCCTCAAAAGTCATATCGTTTGCTTTACTTTTGTTTGCTCTTCAGTGGCCTTCAAGTAGCTGTTTTGTTGGTTTATTTGCTTTTTCATATTGTCTGGTCTATAATTATTATCCCTGGTAGGGTTAATCCAATTCAATCTACTTTGCCATTACTGAAGCTATTCCAAACACAACCAACCTCTTCATGTCCTGGAAGCATGGTGATAATGCCTAAATAGTTAACTCCTTCTTCTAGTATCCTGCCAGATGAATTTGTATCAGCAATTGTGTCATGTTCTGAGAGTTGCACTAAACCACCAATCATTCAGTTGGTGAGGTCTTTGAGAAAAATGATAAATTTTGGGTTAGGTGATGAGAAAAGTGTGTGTTTTACATAGAGATTAAGGAGCCCTACCCTAGAGTGTATAAAGATTAGCCTATTGCTGTCATCAAAGTCATTTATCATTTATTACATATATTTTATTGCTTGGTAATAATCTTTTAGTTTGCAGTAAATCCTTTCAATAGCAATTAGATTTAAAAGTACATGTTTAAGCATTAGACCTAAAACCATAAAAACCCTAGAAGAAAACCTAGGCATTACCATTCAGGACATAGGCATGGGCAAGGACTTCATGTCTAAAACACCAAAAGCAATGGCAACAAAAGACAAAATTGACAAATGGGATCTAATTAAACTAAAGAGCTTCTGCACAGCAAAAGAAACTACTATCAGAGTGAACAGGCAACCTACAGAATGGGAGAAAATTTTCTTAACCTACTCATTTGACAAAGGGCTAATATCCAGAAACTACAATGAACTCAAACAAATTTACAAGAAAAAGACAAACAACCCCATCAAAAAGTGGGCGAAGGACATGAACAGACACTTCTCAAAAGAAGACATTTATGCAGCCAAAACACACATGAAAAAATGCTCACCATCACTGGCCATCAGAGAAATGCAAATCAAAACCACAATGAGATACCATCTCACACCAGTTAGAATGGCAATCATTAAAAAGTCAGGAAACAACAGGTGCTGGAGAGGATGTGGAGAAATAGGAACACTTTTACACTGTTGGTGGGACTGTAAACTAGCTCAACCATTGTGGAAGTCAGTGTGGCGATTCCTCAGGGATCTAGAACTAGAAATACCATTTGACCCAGCCATCCCATTACTGGGTATATACCCAAAGGACTATAAATCATGCTGCTATAAAGACACATGCACACGTATGTTTATTGCGGCATTATTCACAATAGCAAAGACTTGGAACCAACCCAAATGTCCATCAATGATAGACTGAATTAAGAAAATGTGGCACATATACACCATGGAATACTATGCAGCCATAAAAAAGGATGAGTTCACATCCTTTGTAGGGACATGGATGAAACTGGAAATCATCATTCTCAGTAAACTATTGCAAGGACAAAAAACCAAACACCGCATGTTCTCAGTCATAGGTGGGAATTGAACAATGAGAACACATGGACACAGGAAGGGGAACATCACACTCTGGGGACTGTTGTGGGGTGGGGGGAGGGGGGAGGGATAGCATTAGGAGATATACCTAATGCTAAATGATGAGTTAATGGGTGCAGCACACCAGCATGGCACATGTATACATATGTAACTAACCTGCACATTGTGCACATGTACCCTAAAACTTAAAGTATAATAATAATAAAATAAAATAAAATAAAAAGTACATGTTTAATGAAAAATTAAGTAGTGAATTTACATTTCTCTGGACAGTTGATGATAAGTAAGTAATTTGTTTGTCTATGTTTACCATCCAATAGGGGGGCAATTCTAATAGCAGAAATTGGAAAAATTAGAACACACAAATCTGCTAAAGAACTACCAGTACCTACTTCAAGACATAGTAGTTTTATCAACAATTTAACATATCTATCTGAAGACAATCACTTCACAAACCCTGTAAGGGTTACTTGCATATCACCAATTAGATCAAACCATTTTTCTTCTAAATCAATTTATTTTTAGTTCTCAGATTGGTTATGCATATAAATAAAGCAATAGCTGTTAAAACATTGGCTTCATTAACTGAAATAAAATTTAGAAAATAATTTAAATGAAGCCATTTTTATATCAGTATCATAAGAGGACTCAAACAGAAAAGCAGTTAATTTTTCTTCATCCAACTATAAACTCAAGACTCTTTATAAGTTTATTCTTTTAATTAAATATCCAACATGATCTGGAAGCTGTTATAAACTCAGTTATAAATTTCAATATAGAAAATAATATTGAAGGAGGAGAGGAGCTAGATGGCTAAATAGAGGGCTCCACCAATCATCCCTCCTGCAAGGGCACAAATTTAACAAATATCAATATTAAAAAAGTACTTCAATAAGAACCGAAAATCAGTTGAGTACTCAAAGTACCTGGTTTTAACTCCATATCACTGAAAGGGGCATGGAAAAGGTAGAAAACATAGTCTTGAATAGCCAATGGCAACCCGTCCACTTCTCCAGAAGTAGCTGTGTGGCATAGAGAAAAAAATGTGTGCTCTTGGGAGAGGGAAGGTGCAGCAATTGTGAGATATGGTACTGAACTCTGTGTTGCCTTGTTATAGCAGAAAGCAAAGCCAGACTGAATTGAGTTGACACCTGCCCATGGAGGGAGTGTTTAAACCAACCATAGCCAGAGGAGTACGGCCCATCCCAAAAACTGGAACTTGAGTTCCAGTAAGCCTCACTATCTCGGGCTGGAGTCTTCTGGGGCCCTAAATAAACTTGAAAGGCAGCCTAGGCAACAAGGGCTGCAACTCCTAGGTGAGTCCTAGGGCTGAGCTGGGCTCAGAAGCCAGTAGACTAGGGAAACACATGACCTACTGAGACATCAACCAGAACAACTGGGGAAGTGCTGACACCACCTCTCCTCTAAGCCCAGACTGCACATCTCATGTCTCTAAAAGAGTCCCCTTCCTTCTACTTGAGGAGAGGAGAGGAGAGGGAAGAGTGGGAAGGACTTTGTCTTGCATCTTGGATGTCAGCTCAGCCACAGCAGGATAGGGCACTGGTCAGAGCTGCGAGAACCCCTTTCCAGGTCCTAGCTCCTAGACAACATTTCTAGACACATCCTGGGCCAGAAGGGAACCCACTTCCTTGAAGGGAAGGACCCAGTCCTGGGAGGATTCAGCATCTGCTAACTGAAGTGTTGGCCCTGAATAAACAGCAGCAATACCCAGGTAGTACAATGTGGCCCTTGAGGAAAGCAGAGGGAAAAGTAAAGGAGACTTGTCTTACACCATAGATAGCAGCTCTGCCACAGTAGGGTAGAGTACAACACAGGCTCTTGGGGTCCAGGATTCCAGGCCTTGGCTCTTGGATGGCATTTCTAGACCTGCCCTGGGTCAGAGGGCTGCCCACTGCCATTAAAGGTGAGTCCCAAGCTAAGCAGCATTCACCACAAGCTGACTGAAGAGCCCTTGGGCTTTAAGTAAACATCGGTGGTGGCTTGGCAGAATCCCCCCATGGGCCAGTGGTGGCAGCAGGCACAGAGCGAGGCTCTCTGCTTATGGCAAGGGGAAGGAAGAACAAGAAAGACTTTATATTGTGGTTCCAGTGCCAGCTTAGCCTCAGTAGAATAAAACATTAGGCAAATTTCTGAGGTTATTTTTGACTCCAAACTCTGGCTCCCAGACAGCATCTTTAGACCTGCTCAGGGCCTAGGGAAACTCACCAACCTAAAGGAAAGGACACAAATTTGGCTGTCTTCACCAGCTACTGATCATAAGGCCCTAGGGCCTTGTGTGAACATAGGTGGTAGTGAGGTAGTGATTACAGTGGGCCTTTAGGCAAGACCTAATGTTATGCTGGCTCCGGGTCTGACACAGCACAGTCCCAGTTGTGGTAGCCACAGGGGTGCTCACATCACCACACACCCAGTTACAGGCAGCTCAGCACAGAGAGAGACTCCATTTGTTCGGGAGAAAGTAAGAGAAAAGAACAAGAGTGTCCACATAGTAATCCAGAGAATTCTTCTGGATCTTATCTAAGACCACCAAGGCAGTACCTCTACGAGTCTCAAAAAAACCACAGTTATATTGGGTTTGGGGCCTAGGTCCCCTTGAATACCTGGGAAGCCTTCTCAAGAAAGACAGGCACAAACAATTCCAGATTGTGAAGACTACAATGAATACCTACTTCTTCAATGTGCAGACACCAAAGAACATCTGCAAGCATCAAGATCATGCAGGAAAACATGACCAAACCAAATTAATTAAATAAGGCACTAGAGACCAATTCTGTAGAAACAGAGAATTGGATCTTTTATACAAAGAATTCAAAATAGCTCATTTGAAGAAACTTAAAGAAATTCAACATAACACAGAGAAGGAATGCAGAATTCTATCAGATAAATTTAACAAAGATATTGAAATAATTCAAAACAATCATGCAGAAATTCTAGAGCTAAAAAATGCAATTGACACACTAAAGAATGCATCAGAGTCACATAATAGCAAAATGTATTAAGTGGAAGAGATAACTAGTGATCTTGAAGACAGGCCACTTGAAAATATATACTCAGAAGAGACAAAAGAAAAAAGAATAAAAAACACTGAAGCTCACCTATGAGATCTAGAAATAGTCTCAAAATGGTAAATCTAAGAGTTATTGTCCTTAAAGAGGAAGTAGAGAAAAAGATGGGGTATAAAGTTTATTCAAAGAGATAACAGAGAACTTCCCAAACCTAGAAAAAGATACCAATATTTAAGTACATGAAGGTTATAGAACACCAAGAAGATTTAACCAAAAGACTACCTCTTTGGTGGAAGGAACATAGAGTTGGATCAGGCTGAATTTATTGATTTGTGCCCACTAAGTAGGGACTCTGCATATAACGTTGCAGCTCAGGGAGTTACAAAAGGTTCTAATAGTTTATTTGCTTGGTTAGCTGAAATACAGATTAAAAGATGGCCCACTGTGAGTAAGCTATAAATGTCTGATCTCTCTTGATTTAGTGTAGAGGAAGAGATCCAAAGGCTTAGGAAGGTTGGGATGGTGGAGTGGATTAGTCACTTTAGACCTACTCATTCCATTTGGGAGGGCCCAGAAGATATGCCCTTGACCAATGCCTTGCAAAATAGATTTGTGAGGGCAGCACCTGCATCTTTGAAGAGTCCTGTAATTGCTTTTCTCTGTATGTCAGATCTAACAGTGGGAACACAGTCGCTCAACTACAACAATTAAATACAATGGGAATAATTGGATCCTGAGGTGACAGGGGCCAAGTGGGGGCACTGAACCACCAAAGGCAAGGTGGGCATAGCTACTGTAATAAACAGCAAAGACAAAGTGGCAATCAGAATAGTCTGACTTTTGTAGCCCTCAGGTATTGGCTAGTTACTCATGGTGTTCCTAGAAGTGAAATTGATAGGAAGCCTATTGCATTCCTACTTAATTTATACAAGCATAAAACTTCTAGGTTGAATGGACATAAGACTAATTTGAATTATAGAAACAGAGAATCATGGCCCCTCAATCAACTTCCAGACTTGAGCCAGTTTACAGACCCAGATAATGAAGGGGAGGCTGGGTGTCCTTGATCAAGGACCTAACTACATTACTCACAGTTTGTGCAGTGAATCTTTCTCCCATCCTTACCCAAGGAAACCTCCAGCTTTTTACCAGAGTAACTGTGCACTGGGGATAGGGAAAGGATCAGACATTTCAGAGACTACTGGACACTGGCTCTGAGCTGATGTTGATTCCAGGGGACCCAAAATGTCATTGTGGTCCTCCAGTTAAAGTAGGGGCTTAGGGAGGTCAGGTAATTAATGGAGTTTTAGCTCAGGTCCAACTTACAGTGGGTCCCCGGACTCATCCTATGGTCATTTCCCCAGTGCCAGAATGCATAATTGGCATAGACATACTTAGCAGCTGGCAGAACCCCCACATTGGCTCTGACTGGTAGGGTGAGGGCTATTGTGGTGGGAAATGCCAAATGGAAGCCATTAGAGCTGTCTCTACCTAGAAAAATAGTAATTCAAAAATAATATTGCATCCCCGGAGGGACTGCAGAGATTACTGCCACCAACAAGGACTTGAAAGATGCAGAGGTGGTGATTCCCACTACATCCCCGTTCAACTCTCCCTTTTGGCCTGTGCAGAAAACAGATGGATCTTGGAGAATGACAGTGAATTATCATAAGCTTAAACAAATGGTGACTCCAATTGCAGCTGCTGTACCGGATGTGATTTCATTTCTTGAGCAAATTAACATATCTCCTGGTATCTGATATGCAGCCATTGACTTAGCAAATGCCTTTTTCTTTATTTTGTCCATAATGTGCATCAGAAGCAATTTGCCTTCAGTTGTTAAGGCCAGAAATATACCTTTACTGTCCTACCTCAGGGGTGTATCAACTCTCTGGCTTTGTGTTATAATCTTATTTGGAGAGACCTTGATGACTTTTTGCTTCCACAAGATATCACACCGGTCCATTACATTGATGACATTATGCTGATTGGATCCCGTGAACAAGAAGTAGCAAACACACTGGACTTATAGGTGAGATATGTGTGTGCCAGAGGATGAGAAATAGACTAAAATTAAGGGACCTTGTACCTCAGTAAAATTTCCAGGGGTCCAGTGGTGTGGGCCTGTTGTGATATTCCTTCTAAGGTGAAGGATAAGTTGCTTCATTTGGCCCCTCCTACAACCAAGAAAGAGGAACAATGCCTAGTGGACCTATTTGGATTTTGAAGGCAACACATTTCTCATTTGGGTGTGTTACTCTGGCTCATTTATTAAGTGACCCAAAAGACTGCCAGTTTTGAGTGGGGTCCAGAACAGAAGATGGCTCTGTAACAGGTCCAGGCTACTGCGCAAGCTGCTCTGCCAATTGGCATATGACCCAGCAGATCCAATGGTGCTTGAGGTGTCAGTGACACATAGGGATGCTGTGTGAAGCCTTTGGCAGGCCCCCATAGGTGAATCAAAGTGGAGGCCTCAAAGATTTTGGAGCAAGGCCCTGCCATCTTCTGCTACTCTTTTTTTTTGAGAGACAGCTCTTGGCCTGTTACTGGGCTTTGTTGGAAACTGAACGCTTGACTATGGGTCATCAAGTCACCTTGCAACATGAACTGCCTATCATGAACTGGGTGCTTTCTGATCCATCTAGCCATAAAATGAGTCATGAACAGCAGCATTCTATCATCAAATGGAAGTGGTATATATGTGATCGGGCTTGAGCAGGTCCTGAAGCCACAAGTAAGTTACATGAGGAAGTGGCTCAAATGCCCACGGTCTCTACTGCTGCCACCCTGTCTTCTCTCCCCCAGCCTGCACTGAAGGCCTCATAGGGAGTTCCCTATGATCAGTTGACAGAGGAAGAGAGGACTAGGGCCTGGTTCACAGGTGATTCTGCATGATATGCAGGTACCACCCGAAAGTGGACAGCTGCAGCACTGCAGCCCCTTTCTAGGAGATCTCTGCAGGACAGTGGTGAAAGGAAATCTTCCCAGTGGGCAGAACTTAGAGCAGTGTACCTGGTTGTGTGCTTTTCATGGAAGAAGAAATGGCTAGATGTGCAATTATATACTGATTCATGGGCTGTAGCCAATGGTTTGACTGGATGGTCAGGGACTTGGAAGAAGCATGCTTGGAAAATTAGTAACAAAGAAATTTGGGGAAGAGGTATGTGGATGGACCTCTCTGAGTGGTCAAAAGCTGTGAAGATATTTGTATGTCATGTGACTGCTCACCAATAGGTGACCTCAGCAGAGGAGGAATTTAATAATCAAGTTATTAAATTGATTATTAATAATTATAAATTTTTATTAATTTAAAAGAATGATGACCCGTTCTGTGGATACCACTCAGCCTCTTTCCCAGCCACCCTGTCATTGCCCAATGGGCCCATGAACAAAGTGGCCATGGTGGCAGGGATGGAGGTTATGCACGGGCTCAGCAACATAGACTTCCACTCACCAAGGCTGACCTGGCTATGACCACTGCTGAGTGCCCAATTTGCCAGCAGCAGAGACCAACACTGAGCCCTCGATATAGCACCATTCCTCAGTGTGATTAGCCAGCTACCTGGTGGCAGGTTGATTATATTGGAACTTTTCCATCATGGAAAGGGCAGAGGTTTGTCCTCACTGGAACAGACACTTACTCCAGATATGGGTTTGCCTATCCTTCATGCAATGCTTCTGCCAAGACTACCATCCATGGACTCACGGAATGCCTTATCCACCATCATGGTATTCCACATAGCACTGCCTCTGACCAAGGCACTCACTTCACTGCTAAAGAAGTGTGGCAGTGGGCTCATTCTCCTGGAATCCACTGATCTTACCATGCTCCCCATCACCCTGAAGCAGATGAATTGATAGAATGGTGGAATGGCCTTTTGAACTCAAAATTACAATGCCAACTAGGTGACAATACTTTGTGGGGCTGGGGCAAAGTTCTCCTGAAGGCTGTGTATGCTCTGAATCAGTGTCCAATATATGGTGCTGTTTCTCTCATAGCCTTGATTCATGGGTCTAGGAATGAAGTGGTGGAAGTGACACTACTCACTATCACCCCTAGTGATCCACTAGCAAAATTTTTGCTTCTTGTTCCCAAGACAGTATGTTCTGCTGGCCTAGAGGTCTTAGTTCCAGAGGAAGAAACAATGCCACCAGGAGACACAATAATCATTCCATTAAATTGGAAGTTAAGATTGCCACCTGGACATTTTGGACTCCTTCTACCTTTAAGTCAACAGGCTAAGAAGGGAGTTACAGTGTTGGTTGGGGTGACTGACCCAGACTATCAAGATGAAATCAGTCTAAGGTAACTTTAATTTCACAACAAAGGTAAGGAAGAGTACGTACAGAATACAGGAGATCCATTAGGGCATCTCTTAGTATTACCATGCCCTGTGATTAAGGTCAATGGGAAACTATGACAGCCCAAACCAGGCAGGACCACAAATGACCCAGACCCTTCAGGAATAAAGGTTTGGGTTATGCCACCAGGGAAAACAACAAAAAAACAAAACACTACCTGCTGGGTTGCTTGCTGCAGGCAAAGGGAATACAGAATGAACAACAGAAGAATGTAGTCATCAATACAAGCTATGACCACGTGACCAGCTGCAGAAATGAGGACTGTAATTGTCATGAATATTTCCTCATTTTGCTATTAAAAACACGTTTGTGCATGTATACACTTATACTAAGAAAATATCTTCATTTTATTTCCTTTCTCCTTTATCATGTGACATAAGATTTATTGAATTCACGTCAGAATTTAAGTATTGTTAACTTTATGTAATAGTATTTGGGTTGTGGATTGCTGCATTTCAAGTTGTATGAAGGATAGTTGTATTGTGTTAGGCAAAATTATGACCTTACTATTGTCTTTATTTGAAGATTATGTATGATCTCAGGAGATGTGTATGTGTTCAAGTTGACAACGGTTGGACTTGTGACGGTTAATACTGAGTGTAGACTTGATTGGACTGAAGGATACAAAGTATTGATCCTGGGTGTGTCTGTGAGGGTGTTGCCAAAGGAGAGTCAGTGGGCTAGGAAAGGCAGAGCCATACTTAATCTGGGTGGGCACAATCTAATCAGCTGCCAGTGCAGCTAGAATATAAGCAGACAGAAAAATGTGAAAAGAGAGACTGGCCTAGCCTCCCAGTCTACATCTTTCTCTCATGCTGGATGCTTCCTGCCCTCGAAAATTGGACTCCAATTTCTTCAGTTTGGGAAATCAGACTGGCTCTCCTTGATTCTCAGCCTGCAGATGGCCTACTGTGGGACCTTGTGATCGTGTGAGTTAATACTTAATAAACTCCCATATATATATATATATGGGCAGCTGGTCATGGGGTCATAGCTGGTATTGATGACTACATTCTTCTATTGCCCATTCTGTATTCCCTTTGCCGTCAGCAAGCACCCCAGCAGTGTTTTCTGTTTTTTTTTTTTTTTCCCTGGTGGTATAACCCAAACCTTTATTCCTGAAGGGTCTGGGTCATTTGTAGTCCTGCCTGGATTGGGCTGCTGTAGTTTCCCATTGACCTTAATCACAGGGCATGGTAATACTAAGAGATGCCCTAATGGATCTCCTGTATTCTATACATACTCTTCCTTACCTTTGTTGTGAAATTAAAGTTACCTTACACTGATTTCATCTTGATAGTCTGGGTCAATCACCCCAACCAACACTGTAACTCCCTTCTTAGCCTGTTGACTTAAAGGTAGAAGGAGTCCAAAATGTCCAGGTGGCAATCTTAACTTCCAATTCAATGGAATAATTGTTGTGTCTCCCAGTGGCATTGTTTCTCCCTCTGAAACTAAGACCTCTAGGCCAGCAGAACATAATGTCTTGGGAACAGGAAGCAAAATTTTTATATATATATAATATACTTATATAATATAGATAATATACTTATATATTATATATAATATGGATAATATAGTTACATATTATGTATAATATAGATAATATAGTTATATATTATGTATAATATAGATAATATAGTTACATATTATGTATAATATAGATAATATAGTTATATATTATATATAATATAGATAATATAGTTATATATTATATATAATATAGATAATATAGTTATAAATTATATATAATATAGGTAATATAGTTATATATTATATATAATATAGATAATATAGTTATATATTATATATAATATAGATAATATGCTTATATATTATATAATATAGATAATATGCTTATATATTATATATAATATAGATAATATGCTTATATATTATATATAATATAGATAATATACTTATGTATAAATATAGATAATATACTTATATATTATACATAATATATAATATACTTATACATTATATATTATATTTATATATAATATAGATAATATAATTATATATTATATACAATATACATAATATACTTATATACTATATACAATATACATAATATACTTATATACTATATACAATATACATAATATACTTATATACTATATACAATATACATAATATACTTATATACTATATACAATATACATAATATACTTATATACTATATACAATATACATAATATACTTATATACTATATACAATATACATAATATACTTATATACTATATACAATATACATAATATACTTATATATTATATACAATATACATAATATACTTATATATTATATACTATATATAATATACTTATATATTATATATAAATATATACTTATATATTTATACATAATATATAATATACTTATATATTATATATAAATATAATATACTTATTATATATAATATATAATATACTTATATATATTTATATATAATATATATAATATACTTATATATACTTATATATATAATATATAATATACTATATATAATATATATGATATACTTATATATATTTATATATAATATATAATATATAATATACTTATATTTTTATATATAATATATAATATATATAATATATTTATATATATTATATATAATATACAATATACTTATATATATTTATATAATATATAAATATATATAATTTTATAATATATATAATTATATATAATATATATAATATATAATATAGATAATTATATAAATTATATTTACATACAATTGTATATATTTATATAAATTATATATATATATATTCCATTGGTTCTGTCCCTCTAGAGAACACTGACTAATATGCTTATCAATAATAACATTGAATGTAAATAAACTACACTCTCCAATCAAAGGACACAGACTGGCTGAATGGATTAAAAAAACAAAACCCAAAGATCTGTTGCCTACAAGAAACACATTTCACCTATAAAGACACTTATAGCCTGAAAATAAAGGAATAGAAAAAGATATTACTGCAAATGAAAACCAAAAGACAAAGAAGGTCACTGTATAATGAAAAAGGGGTAAATTCAACAAGAGGATTTAACACTTGTAAATATATATGTATCCAATACTGGAGGACTCAGATTTATAAAGCAAATATTATTAGAGCTAAAGAGAGAGATGGTCCCAATTTAATAATAACTAGAGGCTACAACACCCCACTTTCAGCATTGGACAGATATTTGAGCCAGAAAGTCAACAAAAAAATATTGGACTTAATCTGCACTATAGACCAAATGGACCTACTAGATATTTACAGAATATTTCACCCAATGACTGCAGAATTAAATTCTTTTCCTCAACACATGGATCATTCTCAAGGATAGACCATATTATAGGTCACAAAACAAGTCTTAAAACATTCAAAAACCTAAAATACTATCAAGTATATTAGCTGACCACAATGGAAGAAAACTATAAATCAATAAAAAGAAGAATTTTAAAACATTTATAAATACATGAAAATTAAATGATATGCTTCTGAATGACCGGTAGGTCAATTAAGAAATTAAGAAGAAAATCAAAAATTTTCTCAAAACAAGTGACAATGGAAACACAACATACCAAAATCTGTGGGATACAGCAAGAGCAGTACTAAGAAGAAAATTTATACCTATAAGTGCCTACATCAAAAAAGAAGAAAATCTTCAACTAAATAACCTAATGATTAATCTTAAAGACCTGGGAAACCAAGAACAAACCAAATTCAAAATTAGAAGAAAAGAAATAATTAAAATCAGAGCAGAAATAAATGAATTTGAAATGAAAAAAATAATACAAAAAGATAATGAAACAAAAAGTCTTTTTTAAGTTAAGCAAAATTAACAAACTTTTAGCCAGACTAAGAAAAAAAGAGAAAAGTTCAAAATAAATAAAATTAGAGATGAAACAGGAGGAATTACAAATCGTAATGTAGAAATTAAAAGGATGATTAGTGGCTATTATGAGCAACTATGTGCCAATAGATGGGAAAATCTAGAAAAACATGACAAATTACTAGACCCATACAGCTACCAACATTAAACTGGGAAGAAATTCAAAACCCGAACAGACTAAGAGCATATAACAAGATCAACATCATAATAAAAAGCTTCCAGCAAAAAAAAAAAAAGTCCAGGACCCAGTGGCTTCACTGCTGAATTCTAGCAAACATTTAAAGAAGAACTAACCCCAATCCTACTAAAACCTTCCAAAAAATAGAGAAGGAAGGAATACTTCCAAACTCATTCTTTGAGGCTAGTATTACTATGATACCAATATGAAACAAAGACACACTAAAAAAAGAAACTACAGGCCAATATCCCTGATGAATATTGATGCAAAAATCCTTAACAAAATACTAGCAAATCAAATTCAACAACAAAAACATTAAAAATATCACTCTTCATAACCAAGCGGGATTTATCCTAGGGATGCAAGGATGGTTCAACATATGCAAATCAATCAATGTGCCACATTGTATGAACAGAATGGATAAAAACTAAATTATCATTTCATTTGATGCTGAAAAAGCATTTGATAAGCATCTCTTCATAATAAAAACTCTCAAAAAACTGTTATAGCAGGAACATAACTCGACATAATAAAAGCCATATATGAGAGACCCACAGATAGTATCATACTGAATGGGGAAAAACTGAAAGCTTTTCCCCTAAGATCTGGAAAATACCAATGATGCCCATTATTCAACATAGTACTGGAAGTCCTAGCTAAAGCAATCAGATAAGAGAAAGAAATAAACAGCATCCAAATTAGAAAGGAAGAAGTCAAATTATCCTTGTTGCAGATGATATCATCTTATTATTTAGGAAAACCTAAAGACTCCATCAAAAGCTATTAGAACTGGTAAGTTCAGTATAGTTTCAGGGTACAAAATTAACATAAAAATATCAGTAGCATTTCTGTATGCCAACAGCAATCAATCTGAAAAAGAAATCAAGAAAGTAATCCCATTTACAACAGCTACAAACAAAACTAAATACCTAGTGATATGGTTTGGCTCTGTGTTCCCACCCAAATCACATTCTGTAGCTCCCATAATTCTCACATGTTATGGGAGGGACCCAGTGGGAGATGACTGAATCATGGGGCAGGTCTTTCTGGTACTGTTCTCATGATAGTGAATGGGTCTCATGAGATCTGATGGTTTTAATAACAGGAGTTTCTCCGCACAAGCTCTCTCTTTGCTTGCTGCCATCCATGTAAGATGTGACTTACTCCTCCTTGCCTTCTGCCATGATTGTGATGCCTCCCCAGCCATGTGGAACTGTGAGTCCAATTAAGCCTCTTTTTTGCAAATTGCCCAGTCTCAGGTATGTCTTCATCAGGAGTATGAAAATGGACTAATGCCATAAATTGGTACTGGTAGAGTGGGGTGCTGCAAAAAGATACCCAAAAATGTGTAAGCAACGTTGAAACTGGGTTACAGGCAGTGGCTGGAATAGTTTAGAGGGCTCAGAAGAAGACAGGAAAATGTGGGAAAGTTTGGAACTTCCTAGAGACTTGTTGAATGGCTTTGCCCAAAATGCTGATAGCAATATGGATAACAAAGTCCAGGCTGAGGTGATCTCAGATGGAAATGAGGAACGTGTTGGGAACTGGAGCAAAGGTGACTCTTGTTGTGTTTTAGCAAAGAGACTGGCAGCATTTCGCCCCTGCTGTAGAAATTTGTGAAACTTTGAACTTGAGAGAGATGATTTAGGGTGTCTAGCAGGAGGAGAAATTTCTAAGTAGCAAAGCATTCAAGAGGGGACTTGGGTGCTGTGCTGTTAAATTGATTCAGTCATATAAGGGACGCAGAGCATAAAAGCTCAGAAAATTTGCAACCTGACAATGTGACAGAAAAGAAAAATCCATTTTTCTGAGGAGAAATTCAAGCCAGCTGCAGAAATTTGCATAAGTAATGAGGAGCTGAAAGTTAATCCCCAAGAAAATGGGGAAAATGTCTCCAGGGCATGTCAGGGGTCTTCACTGCATCACTCCCATCACAGGAGGGAGGCCTAGAAGAAAATGGTTTTGTGGTCTGGGCGCAGGGTCCCCATGCTGTTTTCAGCCTAGGGACTTGGTGCCCTGCATCCCAGCCACTCCAGCCATGGCTGAAAGAGGCCAACCTAGAGATTGGGCTGCAGCTTCAGAGGGTGGAAGCCCCAAGCCTTGGCAGTTTCCATGTGGTGTTGAACCTGTGAGTGCACAGAAGTCAAGAATTGGGGTTTGGGAACCTCCACCTAGATTTAAGAAGATGTGTGGAAATGCCTGGATGTCCAGACAGAAGTTTGCTGCAGGGGCAGGGCGCTCATGGAGAACCTCTGCCAGGGCAGTGCAGAAAGCAATTGTGGGGTCAGAGACCCCACACAGAGTCCCTGCTGGGGAACCCCCAGTGGAGCCGTGAGCAGAGGCCCACTGTCTTCCAGACCCTAGAGTGGTAGATCCACCAACAGCTTGCACTGTGCCCCTGGAAAAGCTGCAGACACTCAATGCCAGCCCGTGAAAGCAGCCAGGAGGGAGGCTATACCCTGCAAAGCCACAAGGGCAGAGCCGCCCAAGACCATAGGAACCCATCTTTTGCATCAACCGATTTCTCCCATTTGGAATAGCTGTATTTACCTAATGCCTGTACCCTTATTGTATCTAGGAAGTAAGCAATTTGCTTTTGATTTTACAGGCTCATAGGCAGAAGGGACTTGCCTTTTCTCAAATGAGACTTTGGACTGTGGACTTTTGAGTTAATGCTGAAATGAGTTGACACTTTGGGGGACTATTGGGAAGACATGCTTGATTTTTAAATGTGGGGAAATGAGATTTAGGAGAGGCCAAGGGCAGAATGGTATGGTTTGGTTCTGTGCCCCTACCCACATCTCATCTCATAGCTCCCATAATTCCCACATGTTGCTGGAGAGACCTGGAGGGAGATGATTGAGTCATGGGGCAGATCTTTCTGGTGCTGTTCTCATGATAGTGAATGGGTCTCATGAGATCTGATGGTTTTAAAAACAGGATTTTCTCTGCACAAGCTCTCTCTTTGTCTGCTGCCATCCACATAAGATGTGACTTGCTCCTCCTTGCCATCCACCATAATTGTGAGGCCTCCCCAGCCACGTGGAATTGTGAGTCCAATTAAACCTCTTTCTTTGTAAATTGCCCAGTCTTGGGTATGCCTTTATCAGCAGTGTGAAAATGGACTAATACACCTAGGAAATAACCAAAGAAGTGGAAGATCTCTGCAATCAAACTATAAAACATTGATGCAAGAAATTGAAGTGAACACACAAAAAATGGAAAACTAGTCCATGTTAATGGATTGGAGGAATCAATATTGCGAAAATGTCCATACTTTCCAACATAGCCTACAGATTTAATGCAATTCCTATCAAAATACCAAGGACATTGTTTACAGAAATGGAAAGAAAAATCCCAGAATTTATATGGAACCAAAATGTCCCAGAATAGTCAAAGCTATCCAAAGCATGAAGAACACAACAGGAGGAATCACATTATCTGCTGTCAAATTAAACCACAGAGAAATAGTAACCAAAATGGCATGGTACTGGCATAAAAACAGACACAAAGACAAGTGGAATAAAATAGAGAACCCGGAAATAAATACATACATCTACAGTAAACTCATTTTCAACAAAGATTTCAAAAACATACTTTGGAGAAAGGGCAGGCTCTTCAATAAATGGTCCTGGGAAATCTGGATACCCATGTGCAAAAGAATGAAACTTGACCACTATCTCTCATTTTATACAAAAATCAAATAAAAATGTATTAAAGACTGAAATTTAAGACCTCAAACTAGAAATCATTAAAAGAAAACACTGGGGAAACTCCAGGACATTGGATTGGATAAAGACTTCTTGAGCACTATACCCCACAGGCACAGGTAACCAAAGAAAACATGGACAAATAGGATCACATCAAGTTTAAAACGTTCTGCACAATAACAGAAACAATCAAGAAAGTGAAGAGAACCCACAGAATGGGCAAAAATATTTTCAAATTACTCATTGTTGAAGGATTAATAACCAGAATATATAAGGAGTTCAAACAACTCTATAGGAAAAATCTAACAATTCAATTAAAAATGGGCAAAAGGTCTGAATAGACATTTCTCAAAAGAAGACATACAAACAGCAAACAGGTATATGAAAAGACGTTCAACATCATTGATCATCAGAGAAATGCAAATCAAAGCTACAACGAGTATCATCTCACCCCAGTTAAAATGGCTTTTATCCAAAAGTCAAGCAATAACAAATGCTGATGAGGATGTCAAGTAAATGGGACACTCATACACTGTTGGTGGGAATATAAATAGTACAACCATTATGGAGAACAGTTTGGAGGTTCCACAAAAAATAAAACAATAGAGCTACCAAACAATCTAGAAATTCCACTCCTAGGTATATAACTATAAGAAAATATCAGTATATCTACACTCCCATGTTTATTGCAGCATTATTCACAATAGCCAAGATCTGGAAGCAACCTAAATATCCATCAATAGATGAATAAAGAAAATGTGGTACATATACACAATGGAGTAATGTTCAGTCATAAAAAGAATGAAATCCTGTCACTTGCAACAACAGGAATGGAACTGAAAGTCATTATGTTAAGTGAAATAAGCCAGGCACAAAAAGAGAAACATCACATGTTCTTAATTATCTACGGGAACTAAAAATGAAAACAACTGAACTCATGGACACAGAGAGTAGAAGGATGGTTACCAGAGGCTGAGAAGGGTAGTGGGTGGTGGGGATTGTGGAGGAAAGAGAAATGGTTAATGGGTACAAAAAAATAGAATATATAAGACCTAGAATTTGCTAGCACAACAGGGTGAATATAGTAAAAAATAATTTGTCTATTTTAAAATAACTTTAAGGAGCATAACTGGATTGTTTAAAACACAAAAGAAAAAGGCTTCAGTTGATGGGTACCCTATTTACCCTGATGTGATGATTACATATTGCATGCCTGTATCAAAATATCTCATGTAAGCCATAAACATATACACCCACTATGCACCCACAAAATTAAAAATTAAAAATACAGATAAAATTTTGCATTTAGGTGATATTTTAAATACTGTATAAATTTTGATGGAGGAAAGCATTATAATAAAATATTTTTATTAAATAAGAAAAGTTCTATGGCAAAAATATATTTGGAATTGTTCGTGGTACACACAGAATTCAAAATTGCATCCAATATGTTTTAGTATTCTGCCAATTAAAAGAGAAGTTGTAGTTACTCAAATTTACAAGTATTTTTACATATACATAGAATTATTGAGCAACACAATTTTTGTTACTAGACTTATCTTGACTATAAAATAAATATTTCATTATGGCATTATGCACTTTATTTTCTGCCAATGTCAATTAAACTTTAGTGTATTTGAAAATCTAGAGAATTACTTTTTAAATTGTCTTAAAATGGTATTGAACATTTTGCAAATGAGCCCTCTAAATTTCAGCAGCATTTTGTTCAAAATCATTTGAAATTTTCAATCAAAATATTCCATGAATGAAGTGCCAAAATACTTCAGCTTTTAAAGCTTTCATTGGATTGCTATTATTGAAAACAAATCTTGGGAATAGGAAGACAGTAAAATGTTTTGCTTAATAACAAGGGAGCAATTGCACAAATTGAATAATAGCTCAAATGGTATACAATATTAAATTTTGAAAGTCTGTAATTTTGCTTCAGAATGATGCTTTCCAAACTATCTGTAATAAAGAACCAGTTTTGTTTGTTTAAATTTCAATCCTCCACAAAATGATACTTTTGGAAAGTACAATAAAAGTAAGAGAAATTAAGTAGACAAAAATAACATACAAACTTCAAGCCTACTTTTTAAATCATTAGTTTCAGTGCATATAAAAGTGACTTTGACTATATATAATTAGAATGACCATATAGAAAAATAAAAGAATTACAAAACTTCTACAAGTTGTTCATTGAAGTACGCATACACGCAAGTAATACATGGGAATATTGTAAGACTCATGAAGTTTTGTCATTCTGCAATCATAACTAAAGAAAAAAATCGTGATTGAAATATGGTTCCCCATATGAAACATATGAAACACCTTATGGACACTTTTGATGAACAGCATATTTATCAATATTTATGTTTAAGGTAACAACTGAGCTTGGTTCTTACTAATTTATCTAATCTAAATTAGATTGACAGTAATGCTTCTTGCAAAAGATTATATAGATCTAAACTGTTTATTTTTTTATTAAGCATAAAACCACAGGAAAAAAAACACAGTGTAACAAATATGTTGAAGGGAATGGAAGAAGATATTTTCTTTCTTTTTTTTTTTTTTTCAGGACAGAGTCTTGTTCTCGTGAAGTGGCACAAT
The DNA here is from genome assembly GCF_000001405.40 of Homo sapiens. Classification (NCBI taxonomy): domain Eukaryota; kingdom Metazoa; phylum Chordata; class Mammalia; order Primates; family Hominidae; genus Homo; species Homo sapiens. The sequence goes on from NC_000013.11 coordinate 74,818,709, forward strand.
CTTGGCTCACTGCACCAGGCTTAGGCGATTCTCTTGCCTCAGCCTTCCAAGTAGCTGGGATTACAGTCATGCACCACCATACCCAGCTAATTTTTGTATTTTTAGTAGAGACGGGGTTTTGCCATGTTGGCCAAGCTGGTCTCAATCTCCTGACCTCAAGTGATCTGCGCACCCCAGACTCCCAAAATGCTGGGACTACAGGAATGAATCCTGCACTTGGCTAGATTTTTTAAAAAAATTTTTAAACGAGCTCGAATTATTAATTTTTTATTTTTATCTAAAATCAAACAAGTGATGACTGCAGTTTCAAAATTTATACTTAGTCTTTCGTAGGTAACCAGTTCTGATAATTTATCCCATAAGCTGATAGTCAAATTTGTTATTTAACTTTACAAAAGGAACGAATTGCCTGTGTTAGATCTTTTTGTGATGGAAAATAAAATTAAAAGTATTTTATCATATTCATGAGAGATTTGGTGGTACAATTTTGTGGACATTCAGTATCTAGATCATCACCTACTTTATTGATTTGTTATCTAATTATGAAATATGCTGTAATAATCTAAAGAAGCTTTTTCTTTCAAGCTTCTAACTTTAATTTTTGCTCTTCAGTCTTATCTGCTGCTGAAAAACCTGTTACATTCCTTCATTGTATGCATGTGTGATGGTCAATATTGAGTGTCAACTTGATTGGATTGAAGGATGCAAAGTATTGTTCCTGGGTGTGTCTGTGAGGGTTTTACCAAAGGAGATTAACATTTGAGTCAGTGGACTGGGAAAGGCAGACCCACCCTTAAACTGGGTGGGCACAATCTAATCAGCTGCCAGGGTGGCCAGAATAAAAGCAGGCAGAAGAACGTGGAAAAACTAGACTGGTTTAATTGACTGGCCTCTATCTTTCTCCTGTGCTGGATGCTTCCTGCCCTCGAACATTGGACTCCAAGTTTTTCAGCTTTGGGACAGAGTTGGACTGGCTTCATTGCTCCTTTCTCCTCAGCTTGCAGACAGCCTATTGTAGAACCTCACCTTGTGATCCTGTGAGTCAACACTCCTTAACAAACTCCCCTTTATATATATGTCTATCTTACTAGTTCTGCCCCTCTAGAGAACCCTGACTAATACACCATGCAATAAGATCATTAATAATTCTCAAAATATCAGTCAAACAAGCAAGTCTAGTCTACAATTCATATGTTTAAAAACCCAGAACCACATTATTTTCTTATCTTAGAGAAATACATTCTTGACAGAATTTTAACCCTTGATAACAATCACATCTGAGCCTATAATAACAATTGTACATGACCAGTCTTCATAGGATCACATAATAGAGAATATTTTTGAATTTAACATCGGAGTAAAACTAGTATTGGTCTTCTTTTCTCTGAAATCATGTCCAACACTACCATCACCATTTGGCCTACTACTTCTGCCATATTCAAAGAAGGCAGGTCTTTTCACTTGTAAGAGCAAAGCTTATTATACCATCAGTAATTAGGGTCAAAATAAGTAATACATGCTAGTAACCAAAAGCAATTCAGATGAACTATATAAGTGTAGTTTCTCTTGAAATCCATTAGACAGCTGAGGACTGAAAGAAACTTAAATGAAACAAACTCCAGAAAGTGACAAGCCCTCAAAAGAGAAGAAAAAACTGAGCATGGTGGCTCATGCCTGTAATCTTAGCACTTTGGGAGGCCAAGTCAGGTGGATCACCTGAGGTCAGGAGTCCCAGACCAGCCTGGCCAACATGGCAAAACCCTGTCTCTACTAAAAATTCAAAAATTAGACGGGCATGGTGGTGTGCACCTGTAATCCCATCTACCTAGGAGGCTGAGGCAAGAGAATTGCTTGAACCCGAGGGCAGAGGTTGCAGTGAGCTGAGATTGCACCACTGCACTCCAGCCTGGGCAACAGAGCAAGACTGCATCTCAAAAACAATAAAAAATAAAAAAAGAGGAAAGATCCAGAGCTCCTGTGCCTGACTGAAATAGAGAGTGAGGGGAGCAATGGGCCACTGAAAAAGGTAATGAGTACCCAGTCTAACTTTCAGCAAGCCTTCTAGGGCTGTGTGTGAATGATGATGGGAGGCCCAAGACAGAAAGGAAGACTACACCACCCTCTAGTTCTTTCCCTCACATCTTAGGGAGACCTCAAATCGTGGCAGGGAGAAATTACACCCCTAGGCTTAACTCCAGGCATTCACCTCACTAAAACTGAGAGAGGAGCAGAAGAGTGGAGAGAGCCCTCTCAGGTAATTCTTTCTTCACAGAGCATCTACGGGCTGCATCCCCTCTCCAGAGGCCAAGAGTGGTACAGCAGGAATGAAAAGGATCACCCAAGGCACAGAAAGCAGAGGGCAAAACTGGAAAGCAAAGAGAACTCCCTCACCACACAAAACTCTGGCAAACAGAATATAAAGCGGGAAGAGCTTGCTCAGAGGTCAGAAGGCAAGTGGCTCACCTGTGAAATGCAACAGACATCCTGAGATTCACCAGTGCCGGGACCCCAGGCCTTGCTGATGGGAAAGGCTCAATGTATTTTAGATCCCGCAGTGCATTACTATCATAGTTTTATTGACTCAACAACCATTTAGATTGACCCACATGTTTACTCTTTCTGTTGCCTTTCATTTCTCTTTAAATCTTTGAGTTTCCTTTTGGAATCATTTTCCTTTACTTGAAAAACACTCTTTAGTACTTCCCTTAGAATAGGTCAGCTATTAGCAAAGTGTCTTCACTGTGTCTCCATTTTTAGAGAATATTTTTGCTGGGTAAAGAGATTTATTATGTAAATGAAACTAAGAGTTTAAATGCTCTTTAAAAGGCTTATTGCTTGACATTCCAGCGAATTTCCCTTTTCATAATTAGGTCATAGCTAGTTTGGACACTGTCTTACAGAGAAGCATATAGCAGACATAACTTGAAGATCTTTGCAAGATACCGGGCTTCACGTGGTCCAAAAATTTTACTAATATTGGTAGGATTTGGGGGTACTGAGCCCATCAACATTCAGACTATATTAATCAACCCTTTACCCAAACTGGTAAAATACTCTTTCTAACCACAACCAAAGGAGGGACTGAGGCCCATAATATAATCACCAATAGAAATAGGATTTATTATGTCTTGCACTATCCCATGCAATACTCTTAACCTCCCTTGAATGAGAGTTCAAAATTGTAGGGTCATGACTAGAATGATTATACCTTGCCCACTTTCCAGGATTGCCTGATCCTCTGGATACAATTCTGTCTACTAGTTATGACCCTAAACTAGTCAGAGAGTCAACTTCTTCACAGTGGCCCCTTCTGGTACCTAAAATATCCCCACATTGTTAACCCTAACTTCTAATCATAAAAAAAAATAGACTCTGACTGGAAGAACAAAGTGCTTCTGTAAAAATCATTATGGTGCTGTCCATAGAGGCCAGGCATGTAACAGGGTAAGGAATAAATATTGGAGCTATTTTTTTCTGTACAGTTCACTTTTACTCCTCAGAGACTCTTCAACTGCTTTATCAGAGTTGTTCAACTCCAGAGAATCTGCCCTTCCCAAAACAGATAACTGGCACACCTGCCATGTTAAATGATTCCTACACTACTACATAGTCTGTGCCCTCTTAAGCACCATTTTATTTATGGAACCCATCCTTTGCTTGTTTCTCACAAATAAACCAGTTGCATCTATCAGGTAATTATTACTGGCTTTTCTTTACATCCCATGGGAAACAGGTCTCCTTACAGCATGTGCCCGGGAACTTACAAAATGAAGCCACACAGGCTACTCTGAAGAATCACTAATTTACTTTTGTATATGCATTATTCATGTAATAATTCCTATAATGGGGTTTATACAATTGGAAAAGGTAGTGAGAAATTTATACAATTGGAAAGGTAGTAGGAAATTAAATCTTACCTGATGTTATAAATGATATTTTCATAGCTCTGAAAGCTCATCGGACCAATCTAAAGTCTTCAGTTCAAGAAGTAATTATCAAAGTCATAGTTTTAGATTTTCTCTCAGTTTATCAATGTGGTATCTGTGTCATTGCTAACACTTCAGGTGCACTTGGAGAAACACCACTGGCCAAATAGAACAATTCACCTGCAAGATGTTCACCTTGCTCTTCAAGGTAGACCCCAGTAGACCTTGTAATGTGTTTCCTTGGTCTGGATTCTAATCATTCTGCTCTCAGTTTTTGTGAATGTTGCAGTTGCCAAGTGTGGGCTCTCTGGAGTTAGAAATGTTTCTGCATAGTCACTATCTTATCACATAATCCAACTCATTTGATGAAAGGAGGAAAAAAGAGACCCTAGTCTGACTCTATAAACTGTTGTTTGTTGTTTCTGAGACAACGTATTATCTAGAGATCCTAACAGTAGTGTAGATCTGGAATGAGAGTCTTCTCTGCCTGCCCTTCTGGTCTGGCCAGAGCTTGGCCATGAAAAGAGGTTGAGGATGATGAATAGGAACAATCACCCCCACCAGGTACGTAAGAATGAGAACAATTGCTTTATAATTATAACTGCAGAATGCCATATGGCTTGCATAATACTTCTTAGCTCATAATATCATCTAGTTTGCATTGACCCTTGCCTTAAGAGAAAAATCAGTTCATCCAAATGTTCATTCTGCTTCTGATATCATATCCTAAGAACTTCTTAGGGCAATCCATAAACAATAAAAACTCATTCTTTCTTGGTTAATTAATTCGCAAATAATTTTTCAGAACTTCTTTGTAATTGTTCTTCCTTGCTGTAGTATGCCAGTAAAATTCTGGTTATATCATAGCAGGTTTCTTTATTTAAGAGGCTTTCCACATATAGACTAGAATACAGACATATAAAAACATCACATAAATACAATAATTTACCTAATTATGTTATAGTTAACACAAATATGAATGGCTTAAGAACAAAACAAATACTCAAGCAGACCCTGAGAAGATAGAGCAGCAAATGGATCTTCTCATCCTGAAGTATCAAAATGCTGTATTACTTGTTAGTTCTATAGCACTCTTCCTCCAAAGAACTCAAGAAGTTTGGACATACCTTGAAAAAGGCTTTTAAAGACATTCTAATACTTATTAGTAGTACTGAGTCACTGTCAGTATAAAAATTTAAAAGAACATCCCAGGACAAAATAATGATCCTTGCTATAGACTAACACTGGAGAAACAAACTTGGATTGAGGACAGCTCTGGTCATCTGTAAAGATGCCACACAAAGCAAATTGCTTAAACGTTCAGACCTCAATTTTCTCCTATATAAAATGGAATCATAATATCTGCCATACTTCACTGAAAATGTTACTGAAAGAGTAAAGTTAAATAATGAATATAAAAATAATTGTAAGGCTGCAAAATACGACACAAAGTCAAGCAATTGTGTCTGTGTATATATGTTTTAGGTTTTATATAGCTTTTTATTCATGGACTTATATTCTTCCCACATCTACCCACTCTGCTATCCCCATGCCCACCATCCCAATTTTTCATACCTCAAAATCAAACTATTATATCTTCCAGGAAGTTGAATCTATACATTGTGAATTGAAAATCTCATTCAATGTATTTACTTGAATTTGAACCAATGATAGGAAGTAGGGTAGAGGAACTGGGGTGCAGCTTAGCAAATCAACTTCAATAAATGCCAACACAGAGGAATCAACTTCTTCAAATGCTTTGGGTAGCTGTATGAATCCACAACAATTCATTTAGAATGTAATTTTGCATGTGATTAATCTATCATCTGGTCTGATTGCCTCTGGTACATTTTTATAATTATAAATTGAATGGAGAATAAAGATAATTCAAATAATCTTATTGGCTAAAGCACAGGGCATTAATTCAGTTTATAATAGCAATAATGACCTCAGCCCAGGACATTTCCAGGCAATTAATGACTGGCTAGAGTTAATGGCCCAAGTTTCAGCCAAGGACCATCAACTCCTCCTAGCTGGTCATCAATCCTCAGAAAATGCCCAATGTTCAGATCCATTCAGAGTTTGACTCCATCCCAACTTTATATTTTCAAATAAGTTTGTGCTTTACTCTTTTTCCTCAAATTCTATGTCACTTGTAAACTGGGTAAAAATAATTGACATTGTTTTTGAATAATAAATTAATTCATGGAACATAAGAACAACTAAATGACACATAGACATTATACATTAAATTGTATTGTAATATTGAAAACAGTACAGACCCAAAGCACAGGGCATAGATTTTTCTAACTCCAACTTTCTCAAAATCAGTCCTGCTAAGGAAAACCTGGGTTGTGAGCCCCGATTTTCATGTTCTTAGTTTATTTCTCCCAGAGAAAAAAGTCAGATTTAACCTGTAATGTACACATTTCTGCTTTCTACCTATCAAGCTATCCTGTTTGATTTTAAATTCTTTTCCAGAAGTGGGAGACATAGCAGAGGGAAGCATGACTTAATATGCAAGCCCAAGTGATACCACATGACAATGTCATCAGTCATTTCAAGCTTCTCTAGAGTATTTTACCTATTTTTTATTCCCCTATCTCACAGGAGGCAGATGAAACAGATGAGCTGGATTACCAGCATAGCGCACACAAGCTCTTTGTGAGCTGATCAAGCAGAGAGAGGGATTCGGCCAAACAGCCCCCATCTCTACAGGAGGCCACCAGGATGCTGCTCTCACCTCTCACCAGGAACCAGAGACTACAGAAAAAGCAATGCAATGTCTCATTGAGTTTGCCTCCCATCAGCTCCCCCTCCCTTTTTTTCTTTCTGATTCCTTTGTTGTTTTAATCCATCATGAGAAAGCCAGAAGTCATGAAATGACAGTATGTAAAGTGACCTTTACAATCAGGGTCACTGGCCTGGAAGACATGGACTCAGAACACCTGTGGCTGTTAATAAACAAGAAGATGCCTTCATTCAGAGATCACATTTGTCCAAAGCCTATTCTATTCATTATCTATTTTTAAAAGGCAACCCTTTTAGACATATGTATACAACATTCAAGTAGGCAATTCATTATCATTATTACTTACATTAACAACTAATGTCCAAAACAGGCCTCTTGCAGGCTGTGCAGTCATTGCCTGTAAAAGGAAACAGAATGTCCCTCAGTAGCTGAATTAATGTCTCCCAGAGGGGATTTCTCAACAGGAAATGGGAGATGTGTTGCCAAAGAATAAAGTCTGCTCATGAAAAATGATTCATGATGAGAATAGTCAAAACAATGTTAATAAATGACAAATAACAATACACTCATAAAGTAAAGAGAAACATTGCATTTCCATCTTTTCTTACTTACTGGGAAGATGAGTGTCTGTCATTAAAACCATTATTCCTGCTGTCAAAATGCAGACATGGAATGATTCAAAAACTGTCACAAAGAACTTTACATATTGATGGTTTGATGTATGATGGAGTCAGAAATAAAGAAATAAAAGTCCAGAAAATAGGATTCTCCCTATGCCTTAATCTACCTTCACCCAGAGGACAAATGCAGGTATGAGACAATAGAGATACTGAGGATTGTTAAGCAGGAGTAGCAAAACATTAAAAGATGATCTGTCAAATTTTGCTAAGGTAGATTTGATATGCTGGTATAGCATATTAATTTGCTCAATATCATACAAATCAATACTAAATTTGGAGGAAAATTAGTAAGATCTATATAATACAAATAATGTCTGAATTTAAGAAAAAAGTAATAATTTTGTTTTACTGATTTACAGAAAGCAGCTGATGATCAGTGTCAATTGTCCCAATTTAATTTCTTGAAGCAGACAAGTTGATATATATTCTATAGATAAAGATGTAACTAGATAATTGGTTTAGGACCAGATTTTCTCTGCTGGAATTCAGAAGGTTCAGGAAACTTCAGCCCTGTTTTGCAGAGCTAAGAAATGAATTCATGTCTGTCTTAACACAAATCCTATGTGCTTTCTGTCTCACTGTGGCTCACATGCTAAAATCTCCTCCTATGATTCCATACAATATGCTATTTCACCTAGAGGGATTTTACAAACCATTTAAATGCAAACAGGGAGAATTCACCATTACTCTGCTATCATGGATTGTGTGTTTACGTACCCCACTGCCAAATTCATATGTTGAAACCCTAACCCCCAACAGAATGGTATTAGGAGGTGAGCCCTTTGGGAGGTAACTAGGTCATGAGGGTGGATGGAACCCCTATGATGGAATTAGTGTTCTCATAAAAAGGCAAATAGAGTTAGCTCAATCAATTTCTACTATGTGAAACTACAATGAAAAACTGGCAGTCTACATCCTGGAAGAGGGCCCTCACCAGAACTCAGCATGCTGGCACCCTGATCTTGGACTTCCAGCCACCAGGCCTGTGAGAAATACATTTCTGCTGTTTATAAGTGACCCAGTTTATCGTACTTTGTTACAGCGTCTCGAACTAAGACACTAATTATTTAACTTGTTTAACTATAAAACAAGACATGGTACATGCCCCCAAAAACCTCTGATTTGCATCTAACTGGAGGTTAGAATTTGGAAAATCTTATTATCTAAGGAAGGCTGCAGCTTCAATCAGAGGATGAAAAAGAGGTGACATCAATATCCATAATGTAAAGCATGTCTTAAAACAGCCCCCAAAGAACACTTAAATGTTGATAATGAAGATCAAGAGCTGCAAGTAGCATACAGTTGTATAACTGTTATTCAAACTAGGCATGTAAGAAAAAACATGTGATTAAACATTATTCCCAGTTGAGTCTAGGGGAAAAAGAACACACTAAAGGTATATATATACCTTTCTGGTTACCAAGTGGATGGTCTCTCTCCTCTTACCTCCTTGGATTAAAGGGTCTCTAAGATGTATTTAGCTTGTGAACCCCTATATTTAATTTCCATTTGGATTACACAGTGAACATTAATTACAGGTATACCTCCATTGTTTTCTACTTCACTTTATTGTGCTTCACAGACACTGTGGCAACCCTGAAGTGAGCAAGTCTATCAGCCCCATGTTTCCAATGTCATGTACACACTTGTGTCAAATTTTGGTAATTCTTGCAATATTTTAAACTTTTAAAATTAATATTATATCTATTATGGTGACCTGTGGTAAGTGATCTTTGATGTTACTATTACAATTGTTTTTGGGTATCAGGAACCCCACCCATATAAGATGGCAAAAACAGTAGGTAAATGTTGTGTGTGTGTTGACAGCTCCGCTAACTGGCTGTTACCACCTCTCTTCTTCTTGCACCTTCCTATTCCCTGAGACACAATATTGAAATGAGACAAATTAAAAACTCTACAATGGTGTATATACTCAAGTAAAAGGAAGAGTGACTCATCTCTCACTTTAAATCAAAAGTTAGAAATAATTAAGCTTAATGAGGAAGGCATATTGAAAGCCAAGATAGGCCAAAAGCTAGATTTTTTTTCACCAAACGGTTTGCCAAGTTGTGAATATAAAAGAAAAGTTCTTGAAGGGAATTAAATGTGCTACTCCAGTGAACATACAAATGTTAAGAAAGCAAGACAGCTTTATTGCTGATATGAGAAAGTTTAGTTGTCTGGATAGAAGATCAAACTAGCACCAACATCCCCTTAAGCCAAAGCCTAATCCAGAGCAAGGCCCTAACTCTCTTCTATTCTGTAAAGGCTGAGAGAGGTGAGGAAGATGCAAAGGAGAAAACCTGAAGCTGGCAGCGGTTCATTCATGAAGCTTAGGGATAGAAACTATCTTTATCACATAAAAATGTGAGATGGATCTGTCACTTCAGTTCTGGTTACCTTGGCTCCACCTATCTCCTTGGTAGAGCCTGCTTCCTGTCCTACCACCTCTGTGCTCTGTTCTTGTTACTGAACTTCTTCCCCTCCAAAATCTGGCGGAAGTGACATTGCCTAAGCCCAAGCCAGCAGTGGCCTGGGGACTCAGGAATTGTCCATGGGCTACCCTTCAAATGACAATATCTTGTTCTTTGGCTGATATAATGAGTGAACAGTTGGTCAAAGAACTGCAGTTAGGGGAAGAAACTGTCACTTTTCCTCAAGTAGCTGTTGCTAAAAGACCATTTATTACTGAAGAAAACATTGACACTTCCAGTGACCTAATGTTGGCTCAGATATTATACATGGAATTTGGCAAAGAATATGATGCACAATTAGACATAAAGAAAAGAAAATTCAGTGGAGATAGAAAAGTTTCCATGTCCTTTGAAAATTATTGAAAAGTGCATCCTGATGAAGACAGTGATAGCTCTGAAGGTGAGGCTGATTGGCAGGATACTCATGATGATCTCTACTGACTAGCAAAACCAGTTCCCACTCCCACAAAGGGTTTTATTGGAAAAGGAAAAGGCATTGCCACCAAACATCATGAAGTAGTATGTGGGAGAAAGAATCCAGCAAGAACGGAAAATTTTGCACCTGCATTTCAGGTAGAAGACAGAATGGATTTAAAACTACCAAACAAAGTTTTTGATGCTTCAAAACACCATGCCTACTCAGAAGAACAGCAAAGTGCCTGCCTCCACAAGAAAAAGGAGCATTCTACGGAAGAAAATGCAGTTGATCCTGAGACATGTTTTCTTATGTAAAAATGGTCAACTCTGGAATGTTTGAGACAATCATTGACTATTAGTACAGGAGAGAAATCTATTGTCTTTCATGTATACAGAAAGAGCACGGAGGATGAAAAGAAATATAGTAAAGTTATACCTACAGAATGTGCCATCATGGTATTTACAACAACCCTTAATGAGTGGAAGATTCATGACAAATAAGTTAAAGATGATCTTAGGTTTCAAGATCACCTCAGTAAACTAAGTCCACATAAGATTATTCACATGTGGGCAGAAAGCGAAATCCACAATCTCTCAAGAATGCAGAGAACTAGAATTCCTCATCCAACAGTTATACAACTTGAGTGCAAGAAATACATTTTAGTTATGTCTTTTATTGGCCATGATTATGTTCCAGCCCCTAAATTAAAAGAAGTAAAGCTCAGTAGTGAAGGAATGGAAGAAACCTACTAACAAACTCTTCATTTGATGCAGCGGTTATGTAATGAATGTACACTTTTTTATACCAACCTCAGCAAGTATAACATACTTTGGCATGCTGCAAAGGTCTGGTTGTTTGACATCAGTCAGTCAGAAGAACCAACGTGTCTTAATGGACTGGAATCATTGTTCCATGACTATAAAATGTCTCACACTTTTTCCAGAAAGGAGTAGTAAGGAAAGCCATTAATGAATGAGACCTCTTCAATGCTGTTTTAAACATCTCAGCAGATAATGAAGGGGATTTTTTTAGCTAAGACAGAAGCTTTGGAGAAAATGAATGAAGATCACATTCAGAAGAATGGAAAGAAAGCTGCTTCATGCCCACCAGTATTGTATGGTGAATATCACCAATGCCCACCGCTTTCAATGTAAACACAGAGGTGATTGCCAGTTGCCAATAGCAAACAAAGTTATGGTTGTACTCGCAGTACCAAAATATGAGAGGTATACAGTGGTGTTTCCCTGCTTTTCCCCCTCCTTGTAACACATGTGCCAAATGTGTGGAATTTTTAGCTCAGAATTGAGGAAATAAAATCTCACCACCTCTAAAAAAAAGTGCAAGGTGAAGCAGCAAATGCTGATGTAGAAGCTATAGCAAATTATCCGGAAGATCTAAGATAATTGATGAATGTAGCTACACTAAAAAACAGATCCTCCATGTAGATGAAATAGCTATCTATTGGGGAAAAAATGCCATCTGGGACTTTCATAGCTAGAGAAGTCAATGCCTGTCTTCAAAGCTTTAAAGGACAGACTGACTTTTTTATTAAAAGCTAATGCAGCTAGTGACTTAAAGCCAATGCTCATTTACCATTTCTGAAGTACCAGGGCCTTTAAAAATTATACTAAATCTACTCTGCCTGTGCTCTAGAAATGGAAAAACGAAGCCTAGATGACAGCACATCCTTTTACAGCAAGGTTAAATGAATATTCTAAGCCCATTGTTGAGAACCGCTACTCAGAAAAAGACTTCTAGCCACCTAAGAGCTCTGTTGGAGATGCACAAGGAGATTAAGGTTGTTTTCATGTCTGCTAACAGAACATCCACTCTGCTTCCCGTGGATCAAGGAGTCATTTCAACTTCCAAATATATTATTTAAGAAATACATTTTGTAAGGCGATAGCTGCCATGGAAAATTATTCCTTTGACAGATCTGGGCAAAATAAATTGAAAAACCTCTGGAAAGGATTCACCATTCTAGCTGCCATTAAGAACATTCATGGTTCATCAGAGGAGGTCAAAATATCAACTTTAATAGGAGTTTGGAAGAAATTAATTCCAATTCTCATGGATGAGTCCAAGGGGCTCAAGACTTCAGTGGAGGAAGTAACTGCAGATGTTGTTGAAATAGCAAGAGAACTAGAATTAGAAGTAAAGCCTGAAGATGTGACTGAATTGTTAACAATACTGTGATAAAACTTGAAGGGATAAGGAGTTTCTTCTAATGAATAAGCAAAAATAGTGGTTTCTTAAGATGGAATCTACTCCTGGTGAAGATGCTGTGAATATTGTTGAAATGAGAACTGATCTAAAATATTCCATAAACCTAGATGAAAAATCAGTGTCAGGATTTGACAGCATTGACTCCAATTTTGAAAGAAGTTCTACTGTGGGTAAAATGCTATCAAACAGCATCACGTTACCAAGAAATTTTTCATAAAATGAAGATCAATCGATGTGGCAAACTTCATTGTCTTATTCTGAGAAATTGCCACAGCCATCCCAACCTCAGCAACCGCCACCCTGATCAGTCGGCATCCATCAGCATACAGATAAGACCTTCCACTAGCAAACAAGTTAAGACTCACTGAAGGCTCAGATGATCATTAGCATTTTAAAGTATTTTGTAACTCAAGTAGGTACATTCTTTTTATGGACATAATGCTATTGCATACTTAAGACTACAGTATAAACATAAGTTTTATATGCACTAGGAAACCAAAAATTTATATGACTTATTTTATTATGGTGATCAGAAATTGAATCCACAGCATCTCCAAGGTGTGCTTATAACTATCTTCCCTCAGTTTACTGGAAATATGCTCTAGTATTTATATTTATAGATGCTTATAAGCATGTACAATGAGGTTGTTTTAGATTTAGAGAACAGTATCAGGAAATCTGTGAATTGCAAAGTCACCTGTCAAAAAGGTTTCTTTTTAATTCATTTTAAAAATAAGAGTTTATGATGTAATTGCCTCAGTCTGTCCCCAGTTTATTGAAGTGATGGACACAAGATGCTCTTTCTAAAGCAAGTCCATTTTTAAGATGTGGTCCACTCTCTTTAGAGACATAACAGCAAGAAAGCAACCCTGAAACATAGGTAGGGAATTCTGAGTTTAAAAATTGACTTTATTCCAAAAATCTAAAAAGCAGTTGTTTCAACTGACCACTTTAAAAAAATACAACTGTGTACATAGCGATCATGTTGCTAAGATATCACACAAAATATACGCAACTATTAATATAGTTGAAATGTGGCCGAAGACCTATGTCCTGAGAGCAGACCCAGTCATTCAGAGAGGACAGGAGAAGGATGACAAAACAGAGCTTTTCTTACTCATTGCTAATGGCAGGGATTATTTAAAAGAGTTGTGAAATTGCTTTCTCACTTCACTTTTTATACTGTTCTCTTGGTGCATGGCACCCCTCTCCACTGACAACCACAAGCCCAGGGCCTTGTCGTTCTTCATTTCCCCTTCTGTATTCCCTATCCTCTTCTCCAGACTCACTCCCAGAAACCATTTACTTCATTTTCCTAAAACCACATTTCAGAATCTATTTGTGGGATGGCTCTTGGGTTGAAGTTAGAAAAAAGACAATTAAACCCTGTGTCTGATATTGCTCTGGTAAGAAATTGTAATAGTCCTTTGCCTAAATCACATGATGATAATGAGGAATAAAATTTAAAATATAAACCATAGGAATGCATGGTGTCAACTAAGCTGCAAGCCAAATTCTAAGTATTATTTTGTTGGGCCAATCTACAAATGTGTGAAGAACTCATAGCCCATTAACACGTTGATAATTCTATACATTTTAGCAAGCAGATAATAACCTTAACGAATCTCTAATTGGTAAAATTTTAGGTAGTGTTATGAGCACGGGTGAAAAAGAGTCAGGAATTTGGGAGAAATTTACTTTGTGCAAGGGATGAATCACCCAAACAGTAAGCTCCTCAGAGTCTGCCAGTGTCAGGGTTCCAGAAGCTCATCCTAACTTCTCAGTTTTATTTCTATATTTCTTTTTTCCAAAATTATTTCTTATTTGCAATATGTATATTATATACATGTATACATATTTCTTTTACACACATACCTTTTATAAATTAGAAGTAACTGAAATACATATAATCTAGCAAAAAAGTAATTTTGAAGGAGTACATATACATATGTAATACATATATATAGTTTGATGGCAAGAACAAAGGAAACTTCATGTGTTTCTAGGGGAGTTTCTGTCAGTGGTTTCTGAGGAGTAAATGACAAGGGATAGCTGTTCATTAGGAAATGTCATCTGTCAATGGTAAGGAATGAATGGTCTTACCCAAGTGTTCACTCTGATTATAGTCTCTAGTATAGCCATACAAAAACATTAGTTCTGAAAAATAATTCAAGTCATTCTAGAAAATGATTCAGTCATTGAATCAAGTCAATTATTCAAGTCCATAGTTTCTCCTATTTGAGAAAAGGCCAGACATTTTCTTCCTTAAATAAGAGGCACATAATCTAACGCTGCATCTTAAGAAGCATGGGTGATGTTCAGCTACAAAACTTACTTTAGAACACAGTTTAGACTGATAAAATAGGAAAGGCTACAAAAAATGACATATAAGGGTGCCCTCTCCAGAAGGCCAAAGAGCCAACAACTCAACTGGAGTGAGAATGAACTGGATAACTTCATGTTCATGCTATGTCTTTGTAGCTCCTAAAAGTAAGACGATGGTAAGGATAATTTGATACTGTGCTTTAGATTAAGAATATTTCTCCTTACCACATTTCCACCAAAAATGTCTTGTAACCTCAGTAGGGCATTTAGGTCAAAGACGTAAGTTCTAATATTACAGGTCTTTACCCCACAGTTCCCTTTGTTCCCATCCCAGCCACTTACTATAATATCTGAAATTTCCTCAAGGTACATGAGTCTTGATGGAAAGTCCGAGAACACTTGGACACAAGGCATTAGGAACACTAAATGCTACTTGATCAGGGAAACTTATGTTGGGCTAAGAGTAGATATCCTGGGCAAATGGAGGGCAGTGTGCTGTCTTTGTCAGATACCTATCACTGTATAACAAACTATCCAAATTTAGTGCCTTGAAACAACAATCATGAATTTACACACGGTTCTGCAACTTAGACAGGCTGGGTAGGAATGGATTGTTCCCATGTGGCATCAGCTGGGGCACTCAAGAGGTTACATTTTCCTGGTAGAGTGGAAGCAGAAAAAAAGAAGAGGCTATACTCAGTGGAAGCTCAGCTGAGACTGCAAGGACAGTCTGATGCCTCAGCTGGGATGGCTGGAATATGTAGGGACCTGTTGGACATCTCTCTTCCTGTTTCTACGTAGTCTTTCCTGAAGGGTAGCTGGACCTCTTTATAAGAGCTCCAAGAGAGTGAATGCAGAAGTTCCAGGTCTCTTAAGGCTTAGGCCTGGTACTGGTATGGCTTTACTTCTGTGGCATTCCCAGTGGTCAAAACAAATCACAAGGCCATCCCCAATTTAAGGGGAAGTAAATAGATTCCACCTGTTGGATGGGAAGAGTAGCCAAAAAAATAAAATAAAGTAACCATCTTTAACCCAAAATAATGTGCCTACATACAAAGTTTGGCAGTCACTACAAACCAGATAGAAAGTTATTCCCAAGGGGGACTGAGAACAATCTGAAGATAATTGTTGCCATTGTTGTTTTCAGTTTTGCAGATTTCCAGCCAACTTCATTCATTACCATGTGCCTCTGGGCCTACACTTGGCCATTCATAACCTTCTAAGCACCCATTTTCAGAGCAACAAAGTGTAGAATAGCAGTGACAAACTGCAGCCTACAATGGTTGTTTTTGTAAATAAAGTTTTATTGGAACATATCTCTACCCTGTCATTTGCATACTGTTTATGGCCGCTTTTGTGCTGTAACAGCAAAGTTGAGTAATTGTGACAAAGACCTTATGGTCCACAAAGTCAAAGATGTTTACTTTATGGCCTTATTTGTTTGCTAGGTCTACTGCAACAAAGCACCACAGACTGGGCGGCTAAAACAACAGAAATTTATTGTCTCACAGTTCTGGAGCCTAGAAGTCTGAGATCAAGGTGTTGCCAGGGTTGATTCCTACCGAGGGCTGGAAGAGAAGGATGTGTTCCAGGCCTCTCTCCTTGGCTTGCAGATGGCCACCTTCTCCCTGTGTCTTCACATTGTCTTGCTTCTCTGCCTGAGTCCACATTTTCCTCTTCTTTGAAGGACACCAGTCATATCGAATGAGGACCCATACTAATGACCTCATTTTTAACTTACTTCTGTAAAGACTCTATCTCTAAATAAGGTCACATCCTGAAGTAGTAGGGGTTAGGAATTCAACATATGAATTAGCAGGGGTTGAGGCGTAATTCATCCCATACAATGGCCCTTTACAGATACAGTGTGCTAAGGCCTGCAATAGAGGGGAAAAGGCTCAGCCAGCTGTTACAAGCCTTAAATTCTAGTTCAATTCTGCCCCTTCCTACTTGGGGCACTATGAACAAGTCACCAATACTCTGATTCTCTTTCTATATCAGTAAATTGGGTTCAATTGGACTGCACATGATGCAGTGAGTGTAAGATCAAGTTGCGATGCTGTGCAAGAGAGTAGCATGAAGAATAAAAGGTATTGCCTATGAGTTATATTTATATTATATATTCTTGGAATAATTTACTGCCATTCAACCCTGGGGCTTTGTATATTTGAACTTGAGCTTGGCTCACTAATATATTTAGTGGGAAATATATTAGCAGCTTCCTCCTGGTTGAAGAAGGAAGTGGCTGCTGTGGTCCAACTTGTTAAATGTTTCTGAATCACTCTGCTCAGTATATAATGACCTATGGTTTTCTCAATATCTGAAGGCTTCCTTCAGGAGCTTCTGACACAATTTCTTCTCGTGTGTCCCACCTGCCTACCTGGTGTACTCATTGGCTTGCATCACTCTTTGGTAACTGTAGTTTGGGAGCCTGAGACTTCTGGTCTGGCTGAAGTCCAGGATCTTATTTTAGTTTCCTCCGTTCTGCCACTGGATAGCACAGTTAGTCTCAGATGCCCATCTCTACCTAAAAGTTTTTAGAACCAAACTCTTTCCAATGCCTGACCCATCCTGGACCTTTACCTCCATCCTTGTGTTCTACCTCCCACACCTCAAATAAGAAGCTAGGAAACTCATTCTTTTCCCTCCTGCACTAAATTGTGTAAGTCAGATCATTTCCATTCAAGGCAGAGCTTCCTATGTCTCCTATTTGTACTAGACCTTATAAGACATGTTGTTAAGTAAGGAAGGTGTCTTAGTTGGTTGGGACTCTTATAACAAACTACCTTAATCTGGGTATCTTATAAACAATAGGAATTAATTTCTCACAGTTCCAGAGGCTGGGAAGTTCAAGATCAAGCTACCAGTGGATTAGGTGTCTGGCAAGGGCTCACTTTCTCATAGATATTACCTTTTTATTGTGTTGTTCTCTTCATTAATGGGCTTCCTTGTGTCTGTCTTAGAAGGGCACTAACCCAGGCATGAGGAATCACTTCCCAGAGGTCCCACCTCCTAACCATCACCTTGGGGGTTAGCATTTTAGCATATTATTTTGGAAGGACACAATATCCAGACCATGGCAGGAGGAAAGATGATTCCATTGATTTCATAAGATGACATCATTGTCAGTTTGTCAGTTTTGTTTGGTAGGTGACTTCCTATTAGTTTGTGCTTTTCAACTTAAAAATTATTTTAAAAGAGCTCAGGAAAAATGGCACTAAGTTATCCATCTAAAGTGGTAAATGCAACTAAACAAAAAAACTCCCAAAAAGAACAATGAAATCATCTGACCTTAGCAAAGCTATTAGTTTTTGCTGAGTATGTGTTTAGGTAGATAATTCTATCCAGCTGTGCCAAGATAGTACTCATACTGAATTTTTCATTTTTTTTATTTTTTTGACACAGGGTCTCACTCTGTCACTCAGCCTGGAGTTCAGCGATGGGATCACAAATCACTGCAGCCTCTACCTCCCAAGCTCAAGCAATTCTCCCATCTCAGCCTCCCAGGTAGCTGGAGCTACAGGCATGTGCCATCATGCCTAGCTGATTTTTTAAACTTTTTCTAGAGACAGGGTCTCACTATGTTGCCCAGGATGGATTTGAACCTGTGGGCTCAAGTCATCCTCCCACCTCAGCCTCCCAAAGTGCTGGCATTACAGGCTTTACCACCACGCCCAGCTGGAATTTGTTTCTAATGGAGAAAAATACAGTGCTGTTAATCTTATTTGACACATTATGAAATGCCATGCAAATCTCTCCCATGTCAATATGCTACCTTGTCCTTTTTTTTCTATTTGCTGGGCTTGAACTTTTCCAAAGAATGTATCACTTGGCGAAGTCAATTTACTGAAATGAGTATGTGTCGCTGTCATTCTGGAAAAAGAGACGACAGTGCTATATGCCATAACCAAAAGCCACTCCTGTGTGGCATTTTACAACTCTGCCAGGTATCTGCTGGAGACTGCATGCCAAGGGATCTTGAAACTCTCAGCAGATGTGATTATAACTTTGCCCACTACTCATAAGCTATTTCCATTTGCTCTGACATCTTAGCAGCAAACCATACATACTCAATGTTAGCAGTGACATGAGTGACTCAGGCATGGCTCTCTTCAACTAAACTTCAAATCAATTAAGAAGAAATACTTAAACGACAACAACTAAACCAGTTTCTTTGACTTCTGAGCTAATTCTAACCAATTCATTAAGCTTTAACTTGGTGCTACATTTTTGCTTTGTTGAATTGAAATTTATGAAAAAGATTTAGCCAAAGACGAGCATGCAATTAAAAAGTGTAAAATGAGCTGAGGTCTCTAGTCTGTCATTTTAAAAAACAGGGGAGGTCTCCAATTATCCAATAGAATAGAATTAATAAAACTGATGTGTGTCATAATAGATTTTACTCCAATAGAACAACATTATTACATCTGATTGTAAATCACATGAATACTTTCTGGCAACCAAAAGGAAAAAATCCACACTGTTGATAATTGTATAGCTTCTCACATACCAAAATGTATGGTATATGCTACTCGTATCATTAAAGTCTTACTATATTATAATGTGGTAATCTAATTTCTCTAAGTGCCTCATTATTTTTCATTTCAACTGCCAAATGTACATATATTTTATGTTGTTAGTGAATTAAATGGAGACACGCTAAGCAGATTGATATTCTGGATTCGCTCTGTGATTTAAACATACTAATTGCAGTGTAAAATAAGAAAAAAATGTGCTATTTCCTGTAGATCACACCCTGTGGTTTATAATAGAGGCAATCTGTATTGTGCCTAGAAACATATTGTATACAAAAAACTGGTGTGATAAATAGTATGATTTCAAATGAGTATAGTTGCATATTTAAATCAGAATATTTGAGATGTCAGCTAAATTTGAGTTCTTAAACGCGTCTGTGGGTAAATTGTGTTGTAATGTGCATAGCTCAGCCTCGTGAGAGTATAGTCACTTAATAACTACTCATTGTCCCCAGCAATAACATCTCTTGGGTGATGATAGACATGATTAACATACAGAAATAAAACAGAATGGTATATCGGCTAGCTATGACTGGCTAACAAATCATACCAATACGTAGTCCCAAAAAAAAAAAAAAGATTCAGCTCCTAAGTGTTGGCAATTTTGGCTGTGCTCGGTTGAGTTGTTCATCTGGTCATGGCAGAGCACCTTTACATGTTGTCGTCAGCTGCAAGTTAGGCTGATAGCTTTGCTGATTGTATTACTCCATTTTTGCATTGTATAAAGAACTACCTGACACTGGGTAATTTATAAAGAAAAGAGATTTAATTGGCTCATGGTTTTGCAGACTCTAGAGGAAGCATGGTTGGAGAGGCCTCAGGAAACTTACAATCATGGTGGAAGGCAAAGGGGAAACAGGGACATCCTACATGGCTGGAGCAGGAGGAAGAGAGAGAGGAGGGGAAGGTGGCCACAGACTTTTAAACAACCAGGTCTCATGATAACTCACTCCCTGTCATGAGAAGAGCAAGGGGGAAATCTGCCCCCATGATCCACTCACCTCCCACCAGGCCCCTCCTCCAACACAGGGGACCACAGTTCTAGATGAGATATGAGCAGGGACACAAATGCAAACCATATCGGTAATCTTGGCTGGGGTCTCTCCATGTCTGGGACCTCAGCTGGGGCAACTAAGCTTACGTGGCTCTGGTGACTGGCCTCTCATCCTCCAGCAGACTAGCCTGGGCATAAGAAATCAAGCAAAAGCACTTAAGGCCTCATGAGGCCTGGACCTGAAACTGCCACACCATCACTGGCACTGAATTCTATTAGGTAAGCCTGATTTAAGGGTGAAAAAATAGACTCCACCTCATGACTGGGGGAGCTGTAAGATCACATGGCAAAAGGACATAGATATAGATAAGGGTAGGAAATTGCAGCCATGTTTGGAAGCAATCTCCAACTGATGGTGACCTATTAAAGGTGACATTTTGGATAAATATATTAAAAGAGTTCATCATGTCTATCAGTAGAATCAGCTGAGGGACCCCAAACATTACTGCCAGAGACTGGAGAAAGTTCAAATTCTTCCCTCTAAATCATCTATGCCTATTTTCATTCCTGTCCATGGGATCTTATCGAATGATTACACAAAGAGCCAGTGGCCAAATGGAATTCATTTATTCTTTTATTGATAACTGCTGACAGGCCCTGACCATCCATGACCAGGTAGGTAGAGGACATTGATAAGAGCTGCTTAATAAAGTCCTCTGACAAATCAGTAAGTCCTTTTGGAGAAAAGGCTGTAGAGAAGAGACTGGTAATATGTCTAACACAGGAACCTTTACTCATGGAGAAAATGTGATTCAGAGAATATTCTGGACCTCTGCCCATCAAGATGAGCAATTGTCCCTCTTTAGAATATCAGTAGCTAGAAAAGAGGTGATTAGAAATAGGCCTAGCTTGCCTCTGGTATTTCAAATCCTAAAACCCTACATAAAAAGTTGATGACAACATCAAAAATAACAATAACAACAAACAGAGTTTGAAGTTAGATCTTCTGCCAAAATCTCCATCAGACTAATGCAGGTGCTCCATGCATGTCACCAGCTTTGTTCTTCTCTCCTCCCAGAGCACTAACCCAATATGCTTGTGGTTTCACCCTTTAAAAGAAACTGACAAACAAAAATACCCATGTAACTTCATAATAACTTTACCACCTGCAATAGTGATCTGGCAGCTATGATAGTAGTATCGCCCTCTTCCATAATATGTATAAAAAGAGTATCAGATGCTATAGATTGATATTTTTCCTCTGTTTAACCCAAGTTCATAATTTAATCCTAGGAGAGTAAGGTAAAATAACCAGAATCCCTGTATTAGAACTGCTAATCCCAGCTTTATCAGTAAATGGCTGTGTGATCTTGAAGACTCAGAGAACCATATTTTCCTCTTTTCTTTCTGCTTATCAGAACTTACGTATGTTTCAACCTCTTGCAATTTATAAAAAATAAAACATAATTTAAAGCCTCCACTAATCCCCCCTTTCTATCTAGTGATTACTGTCCCCCACCTCTTCTTCTTAGTCGAATTTCTACTTTAATTCCCTTCATTTCCTCATGTTCAACTCAAGTGTGAGCCCACTGTCGTCTGGCATTAGCCACCCCCAATTCCCCAATTCTACTAAATTTCTGCTAAAACCATGAGTGACTTAATGTTATTAAATCCAGTAGAAACTTTTAAATTATCTTTTTTGACTGCTTAGAAATATTGATACTACTAACCATATTGTTTCTTCTTAGAATACTCTCCATTTTTAATGTCCTTTCTCTTCCCTGGTACATCTTCCTCTACCTAATCAGAGTTCTAACCCTACTTTCTTCTCTCTTCTCAATTCATACTCTCTCCAGTTTATCCCCATGCCTTCAATTATATCTATATGGTGCTAAATCCCAAATTGAGCTCCACACTCATATTTCCATATTCCCAGCTGTCCACGTTACCTATCTATTTGAATATTTTAGAGGCAGTTTAAGTCAACATATTCAAAACTGATCTCATCATGTTTTCCCCTTAAACTTACCCCTTTTCCAGCATTCTTAAACTAGAACTTCAAGATCATCTCTGACTCCTCCTTCTCCTGGTTTACAAGATCCCAACAATCATCTGTATCTCCTGAGTGTCTCCTGAAGCCATCCATTTATGTCCATCTCCCCTTCCTCATGCTAATTCAAGTTAATCTTTTGCCTAGTGTATGGCAAGTGTTCTAGTTGACTTCCCCCTCCATTCTGATTCCTCTGTGATCCACTCTCCATTTTCTAGCCCAAGAAAAATAAATCTGATTACGTCATTCCCCAACTTCAACTCTTCAATGCTTTCCCATTTCCCTTGCTCCAGCATTACTTCTTGACACTCGCCCCCCAGATTTTTACATTTGACCTTCTTTGAGCTTCTGGATAATTTTATTTTTTTTACAATTGCATATGCTTTTATTTTTTACCTGGAATGTTTTTCTACCCCATCTTCATAGTAATTTTTTTTTACCCTCCTGGCATGTGTGTACTTCCATATCACACTCAATTGCTTGTTCAGTAGCTGTGTTTCCTAGAGATTGTGTGCTTCCCGGAGCAGGGGCTCTGCCAAAAGCTTTCTACCTAGTAACATGCCTGGTACATACATAATAGTTGCTTATTAATAAATGTTTCTTGAATAAATAAAGAATCCCTAGACCTCTGGGTTCCCCACCGCCCCCCGCCCCCGCCTCCAACCCTCAATTGAGAGAGGAAATGTGAATTTCTATGCCAACTCCTTGTACTAGCAACTTCTTAAGGTTGACTAGATGACCCAACGGGTAATTTTTTTTTTTAATGGTGACAGTTTTTTGAAATACAATGCCTTTGGAAATGAAAAAGATATTGCAAAATCTCTGTGTACTACTTAAATAAATGACTTGAGAAGGTTTGGGGAAGGACCAAAGAACCAAATTATCATGAAGGAAAAAACAGCCTCAAATTTAAATGACATAGTTAGCAACCTTAGGCATTTCAGTTAGAAGCTCATTGTTACCAATCTTACTACCCTCTGATTTTCCAAATTACTAATCTTCATGCTCTCTCAAGATCCCTGGTAACTTGCCACCTAACACTATCTCAGAGTTTAATCACCTTCATTCCTCTTTTTTACCTTCTGTTTTTTTTTTTTTTTTTTTACAAATATGTATTATGAGACATACACTGTACCAGGCAGTAGGGGTAGAAACATAATTATCACATAGTTCTAGCCATTTCCATTTGCTATGAAAACTATGGAAATCATCTGATATAATGTCATGCTAAAGAGGAAAGAATCCGTGGCCAGAAAGGTGTGGCTTTGGATCTAACATCTAGTGCTTACTAAATCTGTGTGTTTCAGCATAGTTCCTGCAACTTTGAGCTTCAGTTTTCTTATATTTAGAATAGGTAAGCATAGCTATGCAGGACAGTGCTTCAGGTGGTCTTGGAGCAACTTATTCTCACTTCTTCTTGCTTGTAGTTCTCAAAAATAACTATAAAATATGCAGGGAATGCTACATACTGATATAAGGAGGAACTGGCCAGGACATCCTGGACTCTGGTACAGTCGCTTTTAGAAACATGATGCCCTTCAATGCTTTAAGTCCAGCAAGCCATGGTGCCTTTTAGGTATAAAACCCAGAGTGGGCTGCTTTACTGGGTTCCTCATCTGCCGTGCAAGTAGGACTCACACAAATGAAATTCCATTTAATCCTGGGCAGCTCTTTTGAGGCTTGGGGAGCCCACTTGCCCTGACTCATAGGTTTCTACTGTCCCTTTCTGCCTATCTCTAAGTAATTAACCAGCTTCATGTAATTTGTTGTGTGGGCCAGTGTTCTGTCTCACTCGTTTCAGGTAAGTAGTAGAAACTGCAGTCCAAGATGCAGCGGGCTGAAGTAGTAATCAGTGCATGGTAAACTTGCTTTACACCCTTCCCCAAACAACTATCAAAACTACCAATAGAATTAAATGACATAGCAATTGAAGCATCTAGTATGTGCCTTGAATAGAAGTGCTCGGTAGAGTTATCTATAATAACCTTTTAACAACCTGAAAGAACAACTTGCCAACATATCAAGGATTGAAGTAACAGTGATAATGAAAGCACAAGGAAACACCAAGGAAATGGAAAAACTGACACTTCTTTTATTACAAATACTTGTTCTTTATCAGTCACATTATGAAGAAATAAACAATAGTGATAATCACAACATATCCAATAAACCACTCTCCCATAAAACTTAATATTCTGTCATTAAGAACAATGATTTGTACATAACAAATAAGATATAATTAACCAATGACTGAATGCATCTTTTTTTGTAATATCTTAGTTTATGTTCTCTAATAATGACAATATTTGGTGAACTTGTACATGTGCTAGTTCTTGTTCTAAGTACTTTACATATGTTAACTCATTTAATCCTCCTGATAACCTGTAAAGTGGATCCTATTTTCTTTATTGCATCAATATGTAAGCCAAGGCACTAAAGGATTATGTAATTTACCAAGGTCACATACTCGGTAGGTGGAGAAATTTGGGCAATCTGAGCCAAAAATTCATGCTCTTTAACTAATGTATACACATGTAAACATACATATATTATGTTGCTTTTTTTTAGACTAACAGCAGTATCTTTTCTGAAAAACTAAGATTCCCATCTCAGAATGAAGTAACAATATGCTACCCCAAAATGTGCCACTTTGGCATAAGGATTCCTTTGAGCTGGAGACAATTGAAAAGAAGCAGATACAAGAACACCTCTCTCTCCTCTCCCTATTTGCCTAAAAACAGGGTATAAATTTATGAGTATATTTCTCCTCCCATCTCTGAAAGGAAGGACAAATATAATCATCAGACTTTAGACCTTTACCAGCCTAGAGACAGCACTGGCAAAATCTACACAACAAACTTTACTAACTAGCCTTTGTCCACCATTATTTTCCCACATATATTTGCCTTCCCACAATTTGCTGCCCCTGGAGCCTCAAGGTTCTTTTCCTTTGTCTTGTCACACCTCTAAACTTTATTGTTCTCTGATGAAGATGCTATATAAGCTGTAAGCCATCTCTTGGAGAGTTACTCTTTCCCTGAGTAGCTGGTGAGTATCTCACCAGACTGATTTCAGAGTGTCAGCCAAGGATATAAGCTCATTTGAAGTTCAGGGCCCTCTACCTAGCTTGTTCAGGTGGTTGTCAGAATTTAGTTCCTTGAAGTTGTTTCACTTATTTTCTTGTTGGTTGTTGGCTGGGAGTCACTCTCAGCTCCTATATAATAATCTCAAATCCTAGCCACATAGCCCTCTCATAACCTGGCCATTTACTTCTGTAAGGCCAGCAGAAGAATAATGTAACATAATCTTGGAAGTCACTTTGTCATCACAGTTCTCATAGACCATAATCCGATCAAGGGTGTAACTATGCCACTATATTCACAGGCACACACCCACAAAGGTAAGGGGATTGTCCTGGGTATACACACCAAGGGCTGTTTTAGAGACTGTTTTAGTCAGGATTCTCCAGAGAGACAGAACCAATAGGAGATTTTATATATATATATACATACACACACATACATACACATACACATATATCTCTTTCTCTCTCTCTCTGTCTCTGTGTGAGTTTCAGCACAGTTCCTACATCTTTGAGCTTCAGTTTTCTTATACTTAGAATGGGTAAGCATTCTAAAGAGAGAGAGAGAGAGAGAGAGAAATGAGGAGGGGAATTGGCTCACATGATTATAGAGGATGAGAAGTCCCACCATAGGTCCTCTGCAAGCTGGAGAACCAGGGAAACTGGTAGTGTGGCTCAGTCCAAGGCCAAAGGCCTTAAAACCAGGGAAACTGATGGTGTGACCCTCGGTCTGAGGTCAAAGTTCCAACAGCCTGGGAGGCCACTGGTGGGAGTCCTGGAATACAATGGCCAGAGAACCTGGAGCTTTGACATCTAAGGGAAAGAGAAGAAGGGTATCCTGCCTCAAGAAAAGAGAACCCCAATTCACGCTCACTCTCCTTGTTTGTTCCTTCTGGGCCCCCAGTTGACCGGATGGTGCTCATTCACATTGAGGGAGAATCTTCCCCACTCAGTCTGCCAACTCAAATGCCAGTTTTTTCATAAATACCCTCACAGACACACCGAGTGCAGCTCAATTTTTCTAACCAAATGCCAAACCAACTGGGTTTCTTTCTTACCAGAAGAGGAATCGACTCCATGTCTAAGAAAACATTGACAATCAGTTATCTGGGTATCACTTAATCCAGTCAAGTTGACATCCAAAATCAACTGTCACAGGGACCATCTTAGAATTCTACTACTATAAGGAGAAAGACAGCAAGATGAGCAAATTATAATACTAAGGGGTTTCCGTTGCATAAAAAAGAAACATGACTTCTCCACTACACAATTTAGTAAATTAAATATGTCCACCATTGAACCACGTATAGAGCCAAAAGGAAAAAAATGAAAGAAATATCTAAAAATGTAAAATGATGGACTCATCTTAGAAAATTAAAAAGACCTGAAGGATAAGTCCAAGAATCCTGAAATGTGGCTATTACAGTGTTAGAAAAAAATAAAGTAATGGCAAACAGGCAGTAAATAAACAAAAGAAGGATACAATCACTACATTGAAAACAGACTGAGTTTATAGGTTTCTCAGTCCTGATTGATGATAAAAGAAACATAATCAATGTAGTATGGTAAAATCTGTGAAGTTAAAGAGTCAAGAGAAAAACTTACAAGTATTTAGAGAGAAGTTAACTTCAAATAAATAAATTTCATATTGACACTGTATCACTTGTTACACTAAAATCTAGAAATATTGGAATCACTGCTAAGAAAACAGAATTTAATTCAGCAATCCTGTAGACAGCCAAGATGCCATTCATCTGTCAGGGTATAAGTAGGTATTTGAGAATGTAGAAGTCTGAGAGGGTGTGACCCACATAAAAGATCTTAAGGAAATACTTGCATAAGTTCTTAACCTAACATAAATTAAGCAAAACCAAGACTTCACAATAGAGGAAAATAAAGAAGACCTAAAACAGTGTTTAGCAATGAACCTTACAATTAATATACATAATTGGAATAGATGATAATGGACCATCCAGAAATATGTGATGCAAGAGCTTAAAACAAAATAAGATATTCAGGCCAGGCACAGTGGTTCATGCCTGTAATCCTCAACATTTTGGGAGGCCAAGGCAGGAGGATCACTTGAGTCCAGGAGTTTGAGACCATCCTGAGCAACATTGTGAGACTTTGTCTCTACAAAAAATAAACAAAATTAGCTGGCCATGGTGGTATGCCCCTATAGTCCCAGCTACTAGGGAGGCTGAGGTGGAAGGATTTCTTGAGCCGGGGAGGTTGACGCTGCAGTGAGCTGAGATTATGCCACTGCACTCTAGTCTGGGTGACAGACCAAGACCCTGTCTCAAAAATAAAAATAAAAAATAAAGTACTCAGAAAAATACTTGTAATAAAAAAGGCAACATTTTGAAGACAACATAATAGCAATAAACCTGTATGGCACATACTAATAGAAGCTAACTAGAAAATGCAAATATTCAAGATATTCCAGGAGAACCGGATAAAAGCATAGTTGGAGTCTTCAATATGCTTTATTCAGAATTAAACAATTTTAGTAAGCTAAAAAAAGAGCATGGAGGAGTTTAAAATACAAAACTAGTACAATTAAGAAAAAAATTTAATAAACATACATATTCACATCTCTGGAACAAATAATAAATAAGTTTTGTATACATATGGAATACTTATTAAAATCAATATGAATTTATTCACAAAGAAAAGTTTAACAAATTTAAAATGCAGAGGTCATGTTTTCTAATCATGATTCAACAAATATAGAAATAAATAGTAAAAATATGGAAAGGAAATTATTTGGAAACCAACATATATTCCTAGCTAACACTTAAAAAATAAAAGAGACCAGGTTCAGAAGCTCACATCTGTAATCCCAGTACTTTGGGAGGCCAAGGTAGGAGGATTGCTTGAGCCTGGAAATTCAAGAGCATCCTGGGCAAAATAGTTAGACCCTATCTCTACAAAAAAAAAAGATTTTAAAAATAGTTGGGCATGGAGCACACACCTATAGTCCTAGCTAGTCTGGAGGGTGAGGCAGGAGGATCACTTGAGCCTGGAAAGTTGAGGCTGCAGTGAGCCATAATCATGCCACTGCACTCCAGCCTGGATGACAGAGCAAGACAATGTCTTAAAAAAAAAAAAAAGAGAGAGAGAGAGAGAGAACCACCTAGAAATAAACCCACACATGGTCAGTTAATTTTCGACAAAGGTGCCAAGAACACACAATGAGGAAAGAATAGTCTTCAATAAATGATGCTGGGAAAACTGTATATGGACAAGCAGAATGAAATTAAACTTTTGTCTCATACCACATACAAAAATCAACTGAAAATGGATTAAAGACTTAAACATAAAACTTGAAACTGTAAAACTACTAGAATAAAACATAGGAGGAAATCTCCATGACAGTATTATAAGCAATGATTTTTTTTATTATGACCCCAAAAGGACAGGCAACAAAAGCAAAAATAGACAAATGAGATTTAATCAACTTTAAAAGCTTCTGCATAGCAAATGAAACAACCAATAGATTGAAGAGACAACCTATGGAATGGGAGAATATATATGCTTGCAAACCATATATCAGATGAGGGGATAATATGCAAAATATATAAAAACTTTTTTCACCATATGAAATAAGAAAGAAAGAAGTTCTTACAGTTACTCCCTTTGGGTATTTTTGCATAAAGTTATTCATAGCATGTATAATGGATAGAACCTTGGTCGTATACCTGAAACCACCTTTGCAAAAATTATGACAGTGAGAGAAGTCTGGCATGGCTTACTCTATCTTGCTTCTAGCCTCACAGCCTGACTGTGCTCACTCATTCCTGGGCATAGGCCAAGCTAACCATGAGAGGAACTTAGTTTATAGTTTAACTTTGAAGCAAGGATGATAATAGTCCTTCCTTAAAACTAACCCCCTGCTTGCTCAGGGACTGCAACCCCTTTGTGAAACTAATGAAAGGCCATGAGATTAGGATTATGGGAGGGGCCTGAATTCTGCTAAAATGTCAGAGTAAACAATAACCAGACATTGTTCCCTAGCTTGCTTTTCTATAATTCCTTGCTGCTTGGGAGTCATGTGGCCAGAGGTCACAAGATTTGTGACTTCTCCAATTGCTTCTATAGATAACATCGCTATTGTAGAGGCTTAAAATTGTTCTTTTGAGATACTATTCAGACTTTTGCATTCTGGTGACCAACTGACTCTACCCAGCCCCTTGATTTGTGGCTCAAATGGTTCTGTGGCCCCAACCCAGAGGCTGGCTCAGCACACAAGGACTGTTTTCCACACCCCTATGGTTTCATCCCCAATCAGTAAGCATTACCCATTCCCTAAGACCTCTGCCCACGAAATTATCCATAAAAACCCTTGCCTCCGAGTTCCTGAGAAGGCTGATTTGAGGAATAAACTCCCATCTCTTGCTGCGCTAGCCCTGTAATAATTAAACTATTTCTCTACTGCAGTACCACTGTTTCAGAGAATTGGTTTTCTCTGTGTAGCAAACCAGAAACAATCAGGTAATTACATACTCAACAAAATTTACTTTGTTAAAAGAAAAAAAAATCCCAGTGTCTATCAAATCTAATCCAAAAATATTCAGTTCTTTGAAGCAGCTGGTTAACTCAAACACATTGATTAAGAATATCTGTTTATCAAATCAGAGTGTGAATTTGAAAAATTACTGAGCACTGATAAAAATAAAACAAGAATAACAAAAAACATTCAAAGAACTATCTAACTATCCAGTATGTAATGATGTCTATAAGAATTTTTTTATTTTTATTTTTAGAGACAGGGTCTCACTCTGTCACCCAGGCTAGAGTGCAGTAGTGAGATCATGGCTCACTACAGCCTTGACTTCCTGGGCTCAAGTGATCCTCTTGCCTCAGCCTCCCAAGTACCTGGTAATACAGGGCATGCAACCATGTCCAGCTAATTAAAAAAAAAATTTGTACTCCTGAGCTCAAGCAATCCTCCTGCCTTGGCCCCCCAAAATGCTGGATTATAAGCATGGGCTACCATTCCTGGCCTGTAAGAATCTTTTGTTTAAAGTTTTTCCTGCTAAATGTAGGAGCTTTGTTTTCAGGGTTCACAAATGTGACATGAGAGGTTTGAGAGAAGTGCTTTAGGGTGCCAAGTAGAGCTTACAAAAATCCCCAAAGATCAGATCCAGATGAGACTCCTCTATCGTTCAGGATGCAAAATTTCTCTAATGAAGAAAATACAATCTTTGGAGGCCCACATAGAAAACTCAACAATATATCAAGAACCCACTGTTGGATGAGGCAACTGTGTGTATGCAAATATATAGCTTTCATGCCTTCCCCTAAAATTGTCATATGATGGCCAACATAATAGTTAAAAATTAGGAAATATACAACAGCTCAACACCAAAGTTAGGGGCTACTCCCTATCAATATCCTAGAGGTTCCAAAGGACACTATGAACTAAACTGGGTAACAAACCATAGACTGAGACTTAGCTACACGATGAGTACATATAAGTAGAGAAGAGGTAAAAAACAAGTCTTTGATGGTTAAATAGGTACAAGAAATAATTTTATACACATATACATGAATGTAGATAAATAGTTAATAAACATAAATATTTCAACTGCAACACTAATGAAAAGGTACACATTGAAACTATAGTCACCTACCATTTTGCCTCTTAAAACTGGTAAAATAATAATTATTACTAATATTATAAGATTTAGTACACATGGAAGTACACTGAGATTAACACAAACTGCTAAGTCTGTCCATTGGAACATTTCTGAAAAATGATGTCCAAATTGTTTCTAGAAACTAAAAAAGTGTTTCTAACATTTGACCCCGAATTACTTTTCCAGAATTCTGTCTTAATGAAGCCCCTTCACCACAGCTGTATAGTAGGAAAAAAATTCAAAAGAACATAAATGCACAACAACGTGATTAAATGCATTTATGGGTTATCCAATATCATTTGTCAAAAATTCTAATAATACAAAAATTCTTGTTATGTAATATTAATGAAACATGCAGTGTAAAACTCTTATCTACCATTAAATCACAATGTAAAGTGTGTAAGAAACATTCTGGAAAAAGATACACCAATATCTTTTTTTTTTTCTTTGAGACAGAGTCTCACTCTTTCACCAGGCTAGAGTGCCGTGGCGCGACCTCAGCTCACTGAAACCTCTGCCTCTCGGATTCAAGCGATTCTCCTACCTCAGCCTCCCGAGTAACTGGGACTACAGGCGTGCACCAGCATGCCCAGCTAATTTTTGCATTTTTAGTAGAGACAGGGTTTCACCATGTTGGCTAGGATGCTCTCAGTCTCTTGATCTCGTGATCTGCCTGCCTTGGCCTCCCAAAGTGCTGGGATTACAGGCATGAGCCCCCACGCCCAGCCCCAATATCTTAACAGTAAATGTATCAGTCAAAAATTAAAATTTTCTTTACTTTGAAGGAAGAATGTTAACAAGATTCATTATATTTTCTGAATTCCCTATTTATAGCTGAGCTGCATAGCAGTTTTGTGATCTGTATTGGGAGTCATGTATTCATATGTTACAAAACTATTTCCTCTTCGTTTTGATTGGACTTGAGATCTTTGATCAAATTGTTCCTTTTAATGCCATATTATATTTGTTGAGTCTCAAATGAAGTCTTGGCTATGCCTATCGTAACAGTTTGCATTCATGTATAAAAAGTTCCATTTACTTTGGTAATCACTTATACTGGGTGCCTTTAATACACAGGTATCTGAAACCAGAAATATTATCTCCCTATTACTCCCATCTAAAATTATGAAAAAATTTTCCTGCCATGTTTCTTCTTGACCTGACTCTTCTTTATTTCTTCTTTACTTTCATTCTTTCTTACTTTCTCTCTCTTTCTTTCTTTCAAGACAGGATCTTACTCTGTCTTGCAGGCTGGAATGCAGTAGTGCAAACATAGCTCATCGCAGCCTGGACCCCCTGGGTTCAAGCTATCTTCCTGCCTCAGCCTCCTGAGTTGCTAGGATTACAGGTATACACCACAGCACCCAACTCCTGATTCTCATTTTTGTCCTCTATTTGCAATCTTGTATGGCTGTTTTATCCAGAATTTTACTTCTATCCATCGAATTCAGATTAAAAGCAAGAGATAGGGTCTTTTAAAGTTCTTCCAAACATACTTTTCATTGTTTTTACCAAGTATATGCTGAACCCATACCAGGAACTCATTTTATTTCATTCAGTACCATCCACATTCCCTACTGTTTACTTTTCACAGTTTTATTCTTCACAAATATTGTAATCACCAACCAGAAGAACTGAAATTGTCACTGGTACCTCCTTTCTCCCCATACCCAGACAATCCTAGAATTTTTCTTTCAGAATATTCAATGTCTAGAGTTCTATCAGAGATTTTATCTCAATGTAAGAGGCATTCCCAGTTGTTTCAGCAGAAATGAGTAGTACTCAGAAATGTAAGAGATTTACCAAAATTTCATTCACATTAAAAAAATACAAGTTGAGGAATGCAGTCACTGAAGTATTGCTATGCATAGCTGTCACGTTATATCTTTGCAACCTCTTGGTGTGAAGTCATCACCAACCTCTATGCCTTCTAGTGTTGACAGGACCCCTCCCACCTGTAGTTCCAGGCCTTCTTGCCTGAAACCTCCTATGGTTAGGTAGCAATGAATCTTTTTCAAGATGCTGTAAGTTACTATTAATGGAAAAAAATCTCCTATCTATTTCAGAGGTCCAAGGATAGAGTTTCCTATCCTCTCTTCCCTGAATATTCCATTCCTCTCTTGCAACAGATTTACTATCACACTCAGAATTCTATTTTGTAAGATTCCTTCTATCTAATCATTCCTTAATAAGATGATTGTTACTTAATGGGCATAACAATCACTTAGAAAGATTTTTTTTAAAAAATGAATGTAGGCTCCGAGGAATTCTGTTTCAGTATGTCTAGTTTGAGAACAGAGAATCAACATTTGTTACAAACATTGCAGTTGATCCTGGTACACACAATGAAAAAGACTGCTTTTACATTTTAAGACACTAGAACCCAGAACATTCATCAGGCACCTTCACCTTCTCCTGTAAAAGTTTCTACATCTGCAAACAGTCCACTTACAAGCCTGCTTCCCAAGGGTCCTGGTGATTGCCTTGTTAAACTGATTTAGTTCTTGTTGCCTCTTTCCATTTAATGGCTGCTGAGTATTAACAGAAAGATTCAAATAATCTTTCATAGGGGACTTACGCTCACTACTTAACAAAATACTTCCCACTATCCATGGGTTCTCCTGCCTTGTAGCATCGGGCAGCACCATAAGTAGTATTATCTCACTTTTCCTATTTGTTTCTGGGCTCCTCACTCCCATGCCACCTGGGTTGCAGATATCATTTATTGCATTCTTAATGGATAAGCAGCTTTCAATAGCTACATTTTTATGGTCAATTATGTAATATAACTAGCAGTTATTTCTGTTTTCCTTAATAAATTTAAATCAGGGCACCTCCACTTTATTTAATTTTAATGTCTGCTCATGTAATGCATCATACTCAACTTCTCTTTCTCCTGCTCCTTTTTTGCCTTTTCTGTAGTTTTTCCTATTGGCTTCTTTAATTATCAAACCTGCATAAACTTCTGGTGCATTTCCAAGCCCATTTCAAGTCAGTCGTTCAGCTATTCAAAGCTTATAACAGTATTCACTGTTAATACCTAAAGAATAAGATGATGTCCCTTAACATTTAAAACCTTTTCAATCATGACTTGAGCTTCCATTATGTAATCAAGGCAGAGTAGTACAACAAAATGTAATTTTTTTTCTCTCTTTTCAGTCAAATATCTCACTTACAACATAAGGTCTGTACCTAATAAAGGTAAATTCTGTTTCATTTATGGGGCAGTGTTTACATATTAGAAACCTTTAATTATAAAATAGTCTTTTTTCCCCTTTCTTCTGTTAGGTGACTGATGATTTGCAAAGAAGGAACAGTTCACTATTGGGAAGCAAGTGATAAGCAAGCTTAGCTCTTCATAAACTCCATGAATACACAGATATTTCTCACAAATACACATTAAATACAGTTGAACATTCTATTTGAAATATGCATGCTATCAGCTTGCCAATATCATCTTTTAAGCTAATGTACTCAGACATTTCTTGGGAGAAAAATGACTTCTGTGATGAATTTTAACCAAGTAACAAAAATATATTGCACTTTCGAAGTGTATGACATTGCATTTAAATGTATCCCCACTTACAAATATAAATACTGACTGACTGTAAATATGATGCATATAAAACAAGTGGGAAGGGTTTTCCCTTGTAATACAACTTAGAGATTATCTCAGTATTTTTCAACCAATTCTTAATACATGGGAACTATTTCTGAAACTGCCTGAGAGCATGAGCAAACCATTGTCCTACGTGGCAGAGGCTAAGCAAGACATACCTGCAATTCAATGGTCTGGATTCAAATCCCCCTCTACCTCTCAGACATGAAGTCCTTGCCCATGCGTATGTCCTCAATGGTATTGCCTAGGTTTTCTTCTAGGGTTTTTATGGTTTTAGGTCTAATATTTAAGTCTTTAATCCATCTCGAATTAATTTTTGTATAAGGTGTAAGGAAGGGATCCAGTTTCAGCTTTCTACATATGGCTAGCCAGTTTTCCCAGCACCATTGATTAAATAGGGAATAGTTTCCCCATTTCTTGTTTTTGTCAGGTTTTTCAAAGGTCAGATGGTTGTAGATGTGTGGTATTATTTCTGAGGGCTCTTTTCTGTTCCATTGGTCTATATCTCTGTGTTGGTACTAGTACCATGCTGTTTTGGTTACTGTAGCCTTGTAGTATAGTTTGAAGTCAAGTAGCGTGATGCCTCCAGCTTTGTTCTTTTGTCGTAGGATTGTCTTGGCATCGTGGGCTCTTTTTTGCTTCCATATGAACTTTAAAGTAGTTTTTTACAATTCTGTGAAGACTTCATGTCGAAAACACCAAAAGCAATGGCAACAAAAGCCAAAAATGACAAATGGGAGCTAATTAAACTAAAGAGCTTCTGCACAGCAAAAGAAACTACCATCAAGTGAACAGGCAACCTACAGAATGGGAGAAAATTTTTACAATCTACTCATCTGACAAAGGGCTAATATCTAGAATCTACAAAGAACTCAAACAAACTTACAAGAAAAAAATAAACAACCCCATCACAAAGTGGGTGAAGGATATGAACAGACACTTCTCAAAAGAAGACATTTATGCAGCCAACAGACACATGAAAAAATGCTCATCATCACTGGCCATCGGAGAAATGCAAATCAAAACCACAATGAGATACCATCTCACACCAGTTCGAATGGCGATCATTGAAAAGTCAGGAAACAGGTGCTAGAGAGGATGTGTAGAAATAGGAACACTTTTACACTGTTGGTGGGACTGTAAACTAGTTCAACCATTGTGGAAGACAGTGTGGCAATTCCTCAAGGATCTAGAACTAGAAATACCATTTGACCCAGCCATCCCATTACTGGGTATATACCCAAAGGATTATAAATCATGCTGCTATAAAGACACATGCACACATATGTTTACTGCGGCACTATTCACAATAGCAATAAACATATTTGGAACCAACCCAAATGTCCATCAGTGATAGACTGGATTAAGAAAATGTGGCACATATACATCATGGAATACTATGCAGCCACTAAAAAGGATGAGTTCATGTCCTTTGTAGGGACACGGATGAAGCTAGAAACCATCATTC
Organism: Homo sapiens; assembly: GCF_000001405.40. Lineage (NCBI taxonomy): Eukaryota > Metazoa > Chordata > Mammalia > Primates > Hominidae > Homo > Homo sapiens. The sequence continues at coordinate 74,854,900 of NC_000013.11, forward strand.
TCAGCAAACTATCACAAGGACAAAAAACCAAACACTGCATGTTCTCACTCATAGGTGGGAATTGAACAATGAGAATACTTGGACACAGGAAGGGGAACATCACACACTGGGGCCTGTCGTGGGGTCGGGGGAGGGGGGAAGGATAGCATTAGGAGATATACCTAATGTAAATGACGAATTAATGGGTGCAGCACACCAACATGGCACATGTATACATATGTAACAAACCTGCATGCTGTGCACATGTACCCTAGAACTTAAAGCATAATAAAAAAAAACAAACAAATCCCCCTCTACCTCTTAAAGTAACTTATTTCATCTATTTATGTCTCTGTTTCCGTATCTATTCAATGAACGTAATTACAGTTTCTATCTTATAGGGTCGTTGGGAGGATTAGATGAGAAAATAAGTGTATTTTGTATTTGTGTATTTTTGTATGTATATTTGTGTATTGCATGTATATATATATCTGTCTATTTTATATGTATGTATGTATACATGAGCAAATAAATAAAAAGATAAATATTAAAAAAAGTTCTTTCCCATAGTATAGACTCACAAACTATACACTATTATTATATATGTTTTTTGGCTTCTGAAATTTCCCAGTGTCTTAAATTGGGGTGTCTTATTTTATGGTTAGACAGATTTCTTATGAAACAGAGTTTTCCCAGCTATATCTACAGTAAAAGTTTTAACTAAAAAGCCAATTAGATGATTCTAGGGCAAAGTACTTTCAAAAATACACTACGCTCCACAAATTTCAGGCAACATTGTCATTGGTGACAATGGTGATAATGATAATGGGCACGCATTCTTCAAATCTGAATGTCATCCAATTGCTTCCCATTTTCTCCAGCCTTAGGAAGTCATTCTTCCTTTTTACATAAATAGCAGTAGTTTAAGTGCCCACCCTTTGTTCCACAGTTTTCCCCACCACTGCAGACTCACTGAGAAAAGCACACATGTGATACCATTACTTTCTCTGGGTTGTTTCTTCTCAAGGATGTAGGTAACCTTCCCTTAGACTCCCAAAGACTACCAAGAGGAAGCCATAGGCAAATGGAAGGTCATTATAATGCAGGAAAGAAAAACATAACTTTCCATTAGTTCCTTCACAGGGGCTCACCCGTTTTCCTTAGCCCCTCAACTAGTGTTCCTTAGTCTTTTACCTGCCATCATATTATAGATACCAACCTACCACTTCCCAACTGAAGTTCATCTAGACCACGGAGGCCTGTTCTCCACAATCTAACACCTCCATGCAAGGTGGGTCTGCCTCCTGCCTGCCCAAATGATAGTCAAGGGGGCGGGGGGTGCATCCAGAAAAAAGCTATCATAATAGGGAAGGGTATGTTTCCCAAGGTTGGAAACCATCACATGAAAGTCACAACCAGTTCCTCTTCACACTCTTTTCTCTATTTTAAGATTATGTTTACATGTTTTTTGCAATCTTCTGATCACCAGTGAACGAACATGTGGAGTAAAGAAGGAAAAGAGTGAGAGGGACTAGACCATCTATCAGTGACAGATATTAATTTTCAAAGGGAGTCTAGCCAAAAGCCACATTTAGGGGAAAATATATTGGATTCTTCAAGGGCATGCCCTTAATAAGTGTACACTCAATTTAACATTTTGATCCGGGGCATCTGTATTTGAATTACTTCTCTGGTTCTGGGTTTCCCAAGTACCATGACTTAGATATCTGCTTTATATCTGGCTGGTTAAAACTGCTCACAAAAAACCTGGTCCCTCCCATAAGAAAAGAGGTTTAATCCCCAGACTACATTCCCTCTTTAGCTTTGAAATTTAGAAACCATTTACCACTTCCCAAATGGCTCTTTCCAGATTCAATTATTTTAAGATCTAAGCTTCAACTTCGTAAATATAAATATAGGTTCGTATTTAAGTAAATATGGAGTACAAAAAGAAATTCTAAAAACTGTTATTTGGTAAAGGATACAGGAAGCATATACATCTAATTCATGAGAGGCTTTTCTAAAACGCTTATGAATTTGAATAAGTATCACATTATTGATCTGAGATTTGTAAGAGAAATTCTAAAGAGCTCTCTCGCGCGCGCGCCAAAATATAACTGAGTAAAACAATAAATTAGAAGTTGAATTCAAGATAGCTTTTTTAAAGAAAAGCATATTTGTTCTTCTCATTCTTGGTGAAAAAAATGTCATTGTCTATTATTAGACAGCTCAGCTTACTTCTTAATTAAATATAAAGGTTTAGATTTGCATTTCTCTAATGATCAGTGATGTTGAGCTTTTTTTCATGTTTGTTGGCTACATAAATGCCTTTTTTTGAAAAGTGTCTGTTTATGTCTCTTGCCCACTTTTTGATGGGGTTGTTTTTTTTTCTTGTAAATTTGTTTAAGTTCCTTGTAGATTCTAGATATCAGACCTTCGTCAGATGGGTAGATTGCAAAAACGTTCTCCCACTCTGTAGGCTGCCTGTTCACTCTGATGATAGTTTCTTTTGCTGTGCAGAAGCTCTTCAGTTTAATTAGATCCCATTTGTCAATTTTGGCTTTTGTTGTGATTGCTTTTGGCATTTTCATCATGAAATCTTTGCCCATGCCTATGTCCTGAATGGTATTACCTAGGTTTTCTTCTAGGGTGTTTATGGTTTGAAGTTTAAAAGCCTTTAATCCATCTTGAGTTAATTTTTGTATAAGGTGTAAAGAAGGGGTCCAGTTTCAGTTTTCTGCATATGGCTAGTCAGTTTTCCCAGCACTATTTATTAAATAGGGAATCCTTTCCCCATTGCTTGTTTTAGTCAGGTTTGTCAAAGATCAGATAGCTGTAGATGTGTGGTATTATTTCTGAGGTCTCTGCTCTGTTCCATTGGTCTATATGTCTGTTTTGGTACCAGTACCATGCTGTTTTAATTACTGTAGCCTTGTAGTATAGTTTGAAGTCAGTTAGTCTGATGCCTCCAGCTTTGTTCTTTTTGCTTAGTATTGTCTTGGCTATATGGGCTCTTTTTGGGTTCCATATGAAATTTAAATTAGTTTTCTCTAGATCTGTGAAGAATGTCAGTGGTAGTTTGATGGAAATAGCATTGAATCTATAAATTACTATGGGCAGTATGGCCATTTTCACAATATTGATTCTTCCTATCCATGAGGATGGAATGTTTTTCCATTGGTTTGTGTCCTCTCTTATTTCCTTGAACAGTGGTTTGTAGTTCTCCTTGAAGAGGTCCTTCAGGTTCCTCATTAGCTGTATTCTTAGGTATTTTATTCTCTTTGTAACAATTGTAAATGGGAGCTCATTAATGATTTGGCTCTCTGCTTGTCTATTGTTGGTGTATAAGAATGCTTGTCATTTTTGCATATTGATTTTCTATCCTGCAACATTGCCAAAGCAGCTTATCAGCCTAAGGAGTTTTTGGGCTGAGATGATAGGGTTTTCTAAATATAGAATCATGTCGTCTGCAAACAGAGGCAATTTGACTTCCTCACTTCCTATTTGAATACCCTTGATTTCTTTCTCTGGCCTGATTGCCCTGGACAGAATTTCCAATACTATGTTGGTTTTCAAAAGGAATGTTTTCAGCTTTTGCCCATTCAGTATGATATTGGCTGTGGGTTTGTCATAAATAGCTCTTATTTTGAGATATGTTCCATCAATACCTAGATTATTGAGAATTTTTAACATGAAGGGATGTCAAATTTTATCAAAGGCCTTTTCTGCATCTATTGACATAATCATGTGGTTTTTGTCATTGGTTCTGTTTATGTGCTGTATTATGTTTATCGATTTGTGTATGTTGAACCAGCCTTGCATCCCAGGGATGAAGCCAATTTGATCGTGGTGGATAAGCTTTTTGATGTGCTGCTGTATTTGGTTTGCCAGTATTTTATTGAGGATTTTTGCATCGATGTTCATCGGCGATATTGGCCTGAAGTTTTCTTTTTCTGTTGTGTCTCTGCCAGGTTTTGGTATCAGGATGATACAAACCACAATGAGATATCATCTCACACCAGTCATAATGGCAGTTATTAAAAAATAAAGAAACAATAGATGCTGGTGAGGCTGCAGAGAAACAGGAATGCTTTTTCATTGTTGGTGGGAATGTAAATTAGTTCAACCATTGTGGAAGACAGTGTGGTGATTCCTCAAGGATTTAGAACCAGAAATATTATTTGACCCAGCAATCTTATTACTGGGTACATACCCAAAGGAATATAAATTATTCTACTATATAAAGACACATGTGCAAGTATATTTATTGCAGCACTATTTACAATAGCAAAGACATGGAACCAACCCAAATGCCCATCAATGATAGACTGGATAAAGAAAATGTGGTAAATATACATGACGGAATCCCATGCAGCCATAAAAAGGAATGAGATCATGTCCTTTGCAGGGACATGGATGAAGCTGGAAGCTATCATCCTCACAAACTAATACAGTAACAGGAAACCAAACACTGCATGTTCTCACTCATAGTGGGAGTTGAAAAATGAGAACACATGGACAAAGGGTGGGAAACAACATACACTGGGGACTGTCAGGGGATGGGCAGTGAGGGGAGGGAGAGCATTAGGACAAATCACTAATGCATGTGGGGCTTAAAACCTAGATGACAGGTTGATAGGTGCCACAAACCACCATAGCACACATATACCTATGTAGCAAACCTGCATGTTCTGCACATATATTCTGGAACTTAAAGTAAAATAAATAAATAAATATAAAGAAGACATATTTACAATTAGCTATATAGTAATTTTGAAATGTAAAATATCAAGACTATGAGAAAAAAGAAACAATAATTCTGAGAACAAGTAGTGATATCCAGATATGATCACATTACAGATAATATTACAAGACACAAAAAGTAGAATGCAAAACATATCCAGCCTTAATTTACCATCTGCAGCAAGTGTCCTATGGCTCTGTGAGAGTCTTACCTCCATCAATAAGCTTATTATGTATAGGGCTATTTTTAGATGTGGCTTGGAGAATGGTGGAGTCCCATGTAAAGCATAAGCTAATCAGGGAAGATTGTTAAGGCACAGAATGACCCTCCTGGGAGCAGCAGAGAGTCAAATAGAAGTATCAGTTTAACAACTCTGAATGAACACTGGAAATTCATTTTTCTCTGACCAATTATTGATCATTAAAAAGTTTACATAAGGTGATGAATCTTCCACAAACTTACTCTCCTTGTTACATAATCAAAAGGAATTGCTGTAGTTCAAAGGGGTTAATTACATATGATCCTATAATTCAAACACTACCAGAAGTGTCTGAACTTCTAGAACCTTAAATTGATTGCAATTGTCTAATCAAATGTTTTCTAGAATTATAGCTTCTTTAAAATGAAGTATGATTTACCTTTCTTCTTGTACTGTGAAGTAGCTGAAATCAATTTATCATCTTTTTTTCTCTCTAGAGCATTTTCTTTTCTTTGAAGGCATATTTACCACTTATACGTCATCAGATTTATAAGAATGATGAAACAGATGATATAAAGTCACAGTATATTAAATAATTATTCAGTTTAATAAACTGATGTGATTAATTTTTTTCAATAAACTGTCAAACTGTAAATACAAAATGTATCTTTATGATTTTGCTATTAAACTATGCATTATTTACACCAAAATGATTTTTTATGCCTTTCTGAAAATTCTGATACCTTGGAGAATCATTTACTTCATGAAAAGTTTTTATCTTAAGTTACATTAGGATATGAACATTACATTGCTATTGCATAAAAAATTAAAAAAATTTTCTCTGATTATGAATATAATTCTTATTTTAATGCTTTTTTAAAGGTTTGACTTATGTGTCTATTCATGCAGGGGTAACCCAGGATTTTTCTTTAATTCTCAAGCTTTTGTTGTAAGACCGAAGAGACTGCACTAAAATGCTTCGCAAATTTTACAAAGATGTACTATAATGGTCACCTATGAATGTGGCCTTCAGGGAATGCAAATTTCACCACCAATGGTGGTATAAAAAGCTTCCATGAATTATGTTTCAAAGCTCAAAATATGGTTCACTTTTCTCTAGGTCAGTTAGCACATTGCTCACAATAGTTTCCCCATCTCTCCCAGGAGAATGTCCTGGCTTGTGTTGATTTATTGCATTTTTAACTATATTAGAAGTAATGCTTTCTTATGGATGACAAGCAACAAATCTCTTCAATTTTTTTTATTAATGTCATTCTTTCCTTGTGTAGCTGTCATTACCAATCCTCTCACCAATGTTCCCTATTATAATTCCAAGAGTTAGTCTTCTGTCATCTGATGAAATATATGTTAGTTTCAATACACTGAGTTCTTTTTTTCAACTATGAAATAGTCGATGTTAATTTTTTTGAAGTTGCTTGTATGGTATTTTTAAAATATGTTCATGTTTCCAGTCTTGAGTGGCCCCTCACTAGTAAGAATGTATATGGCATTAACATGGTACCTCTGTGCATACATGTAATTAATAATGTTTTTGAAGCTCTTTCCCCTTCAAATAGCACTCAGAGTGATCAATCTGACATGTAGAAAATACTCAGGCAAGTATTAATAGCAAAAATGAAAGAAATTAGAAAAAATATTTGGTATCTATGCATCTCCACATTCATTATCTTGCCTAATCTTCATATAACCATACAAAATATACAAAGTAAGTATTATCTGCTATTATAAATAAGGAAAAAGGATGCTTAGTAAATTTTCATAAGTCTTATCTTCACTTCGAAAACTATACTCTTCTCACTCTAGGACATCCTAATTGTAAACACTGTCCCTCGAAATAAAAATCATATGTGAGGTCTGTCTCTTTTTTGAAGTATTATAATAGCATTTAATTAGATACTCCATTAAAGGGGAGGATGGTTTTAAGGCTGCTGATAGTTTAGCAATAGTGTAGAAAAGTAAAGGTCAGAGTCACCTGCTTTAACATTTTTTTTTAATTAAAATTTGCCATGGGCTAAATGTTTATGTTGCTCCCCCCGCAACTTCATATGTTGAAATCCTAGTCCTCAAGGTGATGGTATTAGGAGGTGGGCCTTTGGGAGGTGCTTAAGTCCTGGGTGCAGAACCCTCATGAATGGGATTAGTGTCTTTATAAAAGAGGTCCAAGAGACCCTTCATCCTTTCTACCATGTGAGAACACAGTGAGAAGGTACTATCTTTGGATGAGAAAATGAGCCGTCATCAAGCACCATATCTATAGGCACCTTGATTTTGCACAGCCCAGCCTCCAGAGCTGTGAGAAATAAATTTTTGTTGTTTATAAGTGACCTAGTTTATGGTATTTTGTTATGGTGGCCCAAATGGACTAAGACAAAAAAAAAACTATATAATTAAGGCATCCAGCATCATGGTTTTGCTTTATTTTTTGGAATCTTGGCTTTTATGAGGACCTATTTATCTGCTAATGCTTCTGAAAACTAAGAATGATGCCTTCAACCATTATTATTTAACAATACTGTAATTGACTAGTATCAGCAGAAATGCATGTGACAAAGGTAAAAGAATATGTATTAGCAGAACCTAGAGAAAGTGTGAATACAGAGATTAAGAAGTAGTAGTCAAGGATGACTCCTATGTTTCTGGCTTCCATGAATGAGAAAATTTTTATGCCATTCACTTAGAAAGAGAATACAGTTGAGAATCAATTTTGTGTGAAAATCACTAGCACATTTTTAGAACATGTAGAGCTCAAAATTCTTCTAAGACATGTGAGATTTCCAGAAACCAGTTGGAGTTAAGAGTTGAGATCAGGGAAGAATTTAGGGCTAAATATATAAGTGGTAATTGAAACCATAAATGTGATTGAAATAACTTCATGAGTGTAAATAGTAAAAAGAAGAGAGAGCTGATGGAGCAGATTTGGAGAATGTGAATATTTAAGGAATGGGCAGAAAAACATGAGCCCACAAAGGAAACTGAGGAGGAAAGTATAGAGAGATAGGATGGAAGTTTCCAAAGATGGCAATTTCCAAAGATGATAGACTTGGAGCGTATGAATATTTAAGGAATGGGCAGAAAAATATGAGCCCACAGAGGAAACTAAGGGGGAAAGTATAGAGAGATAGGATGGAATCTAGGAGAAAGTAAAGTCATAGAAGTCATGCAGGTATTTCTTCCTTAAGGAAAGAATGGCCAACAATGACAAGTTAAATAAGGGTCTATTTTATAGGGCATTGTTAACTTAGAGAGAAAACAAGAAATGTATTTGTAGTAAAGTGGTAAGTAAATATTTATTTTTCTTTAAAGAATCTTGATTTTTCTCAAGAAGTCCAGAATTTGGATATAACTAAAAGGGGATGTGATATGATGTCAAGAGGATATTTTGAAGATGGCAGTGACATTGCATTGCAGAATTTTTTTCTATAGTTCTTATTTTTGAAAGAGTAAAGAAGCCTAACCATTTAATCAATCCAAAGTTATGATTTTACAGGGGGTTTTTACAGAAGAGCAAGGGGCAAAAGAGGCAGAGTAATAATAATTTAGAGTAATCAAAATGACAAACCTCAGAATATAGGTCAGGAAGAAAGTGAATCCAGAAAGAAATAGGTAGATTAAAAGGAAATGAAGTAGCTCAGGGCCTGAAATTTTCCTAAGGTCAAAGGGTAGGTCTGTGAGTGTTACAGGGTTGGAACGATAGGTTGTTGCAGTTAAAGATAGCATAATAAATTAGAATTTAATATTTTTCTATGTAGTGTAGTATTAGGTTTTACTATATTTCAAGATGTGGCTTTATGTGTCAGATATGTGAATTAATGTAGAGGTAAAGATCATCAGAATTAAAGTCAAAGAATTGTCTTGGACTGAACCATCCACAAAGACTTTGAAAATTATTAAGATTAAAGTAGAAAGGAATACTTTCACCCAAACATGAAAGTAAATGTGGGAGCATGACCAGGAGGTAAGTAGATGGCAGCCACAAGAAGGGGTATACAGTAATTGCACAAGCTTTTAAAGTTCTCAGGATTTATAAAGGCAAGTGGTAGTTTCCAAAGATAGTTTCCCAAAGAACCACACCCCAATATAAATATATCCTTCTATAGTTCTCTCCTTTTGAATTTGACAAAGATGAGGTAAAGCTAACACTGCCTAACTTCATGACTTCTTATGAATATAGGTCAGAAGAACCCTTGTCACTTAAAATGCTTGCTCTGGAGGAAGCCAGACACCATCTAAGAAGACCAACTGCTTAGTAACCATAGGCTGTGAGGAAGCTGGCCAGAGAAGAGGAATGGAGGGAGGCATGGAGAAAGAAAAGTTCCCAAATGAGCCATCTCAGGTGAGGCATCAGACACATGTATGAGGAAGAAGCCATCTTTGACAACCAGCCCAGTCAAACCTTCAAATGACTTCCGCATTGACCACTATCCAACTATAACTACATGAGATATTATTTCAAAACCTTATGAATTAATAATCTTTTTTTTGAAGTCATTTATTTTCAAGGTGACTTGTTACATGACAATATGTAATAATGGAAATAGCAGAGAATTAAGGAAGCACATGGACAGAAACGTGACACCTCTTCCTACGTATACAAAAGTAAAGAGCAAGGTAAAGCTGAAAGTTGATGGCTTTTTAAATTTAAAATGAAATGAATTGATGAGAGTAAGTGGAATGCAGATGAAATGAAGGATTTCAGAAGAGTGATGTCAGTTTGGAATTGGTAGTATGGAGAATGGGAAGAAGAATTGAAAACAGAAATGGAGGAGAAAGATTTCTGGATTATGCAGGTTGATTTAAGTTGAAATCTCAGTTTGCACTGGTACCATTTACCCAGTTAAGTCAGTTGCTTTAAATGCTTGGTGTTAAGCTCATTCATGAGAAGGACATCAAGGATCTATGAATATGAAACATTAAATGTATAAATTACGTGGACAATGAAATGTCCAAAAATGAAGGCAGGAGGGGTGGAGAGGAAGACTGGAAGTCAGGAGATCAACTCTGCAATAAAAGAAAAGGTCAATTCATGACAAAATTGGGAAGGAACAGGGTGGTACAGTCACATGGTTTGAGATTCAAAAGTTTTGCCTAGCAATGAAAGCATATCTTACTCTTCACATCTATTTTTGGAGAAAAAAGTCCCAGGAATAAGTTTATTCTGTTCAAGGGAAATATTTTTTAATGCTCTTGATATATAATATCAAATTAATTTCCTGATAGTTTTGTCAGTTGTTTCTTTCTGTTTAATGGTAATCATGTGATTTGCCATGTTATCAGAAAAACAGCCACAGTACAAAAAAATCATATATCTATCATTGGAATTATGCAAGATAGATCTGTATGACTTTCCAAATATTTTCCCCATAAACTTCCCATAGTCTATGTTTCCACATTTTTAATTACTTTACCTCTAGCATTCTATAGTATTTGAGCTCTACTAACCCAAGCAATCCCACATGATATCTATCTGTCCCTCCCTCCATCCATCCATCCATCCATCCATCCATCCATCCATCCATCTCTCTTTTGTAGAGTGAACTTGTTAGGAAAAAGTACTTACAACTACAAATTCAAAATAAACCAACATTTCAATGCTATAGAGGTCTATGATTAAGAGAAGTGACCTATTTGCACATCATGAGACACATTTGACCTTGGAAGGGTACTCGCCTTAATTTGCAGGCAGCCTTCACTAAAAAATAAAGATAAATTTTAGGACATAACTGATCAAGAAAATACTAACAATTATTATTATAGTTATATTGCTTATAAGTTAATTTCATGCCAATCCAGCATCATTTTCCTTTTCTTTGCTTTAATCACTTATGCAGTATTCCTCTTCTGTTCTCTCTTTAGAAAATTAAGATATGGTCTGAATATGCTTATATACCTTAATCTGAGTATATAGAATCATAAATTACAGAGCTGGAATGAAGTTAAGAGAGTTGAATTAAACTACTTGATATATAGAGGATGAATTTTGGACCCATAGAAGTTACATGACTTGGCTTCTGGCCCAGAGATGGTGTAATTTTTTTCCCCATATAACAGAAGAATAAGTTATCCTTCCCCTTATATAGTACTTTTTCCAACATTTTAGGCAGTTTATAATATGAAAAAAATGGTTTTATCACCCTCAGTTATAAATGATTATAATTGGCAACTCAATTTTCTCAAAGTAAATTTCAAGGGAACATTGTTTGAGTGTATTTCAAGTTTGACCAAATGCTGGTTTTGTTTTTGAAATGGTCATTTCCAAAATTCAACTATTTTAACAAATATTCAGACAATGTTACTCTTAGAAAACAATTAAAGACACAATTTCACTTCTTAATCATTTCTTTGGACTTTTAAAGTAGACATTTCTAATTGAAAAACCTTAAAAGCATAAGCTACAAGTTAGATTAATTTCCTTTCTCATCACAAATGCCATAATCCTTCAGTCATTTATAACTTTTTCCTGGCACAGCTGCCCTAAAGCATTTATATGATCTTTTCCCAACTCCTGGCCAAGTTTCTGTGGAGTTGCTTTCCAGGAATTACTGGAATTAAAACCGTATTTTTTTTTTTTTTTTTTGCTGGTTTCTTTTTTTTCTTCAGTAAATTCTCTCTTTTTTTTCTCTCACACTCTATTGGATGTGCTGGCTAAAATCTCAGTGATATTTTTAAAAGAAAAAACCTTTTATTTCCCATGTTTTGGGCAATCATAAAGCTTCAAGAATAAAAGCTATATGAAAGTAATATATTTCAAAACTTTTTATAAGGATTTTTAACTCTCTGTCTATATTTTAATAGTTTTTTTGAGATATAATTGGCATGCAATGAATGGTGTTTAAAGTATACAATTTGATAAACTTGGGTATACTGGTATACCCATAAAAACCATCACCACAATCAAAGCAATGAACATATTGATGACTCCCCAACTCATGGATGTTTGCAATCCTTCTCTCCCTCCTGTCTCCATATGCCTTGATCACCTGTAGACAGCCAATGGTCTGCTTTCTGTCATTAAAGATTAGTTTGCATTTTCTAAAATTTGATATAAATTATACAGTATTTACTCTAGTTTCTTTCACACAACATAATTACTCTGAGATTCATCCACAATGTAGCATGCTTCAGTAGTTTGTTGGCTGCATTGATGAGTAGTATTCAATCGAAAGGATATGCCAGACTTTTTTTTTTTTTTTTTTTTCTGAGACAGAGTCTCGCTCTGTCACCCAGGCTGGAGTGCAGTGGCACGATCTTGGCTCACTGCAAGCTCCACCTCCCTGATTCACGCCATTCTCCGGCCTCAGCCTCCCAAATAGCTGGGACTACAGGCGCCCGCCACCGTGCCAGGCTAATTTTTTGCATTTTTAGTGGAGACAGGGTTTCACCATGTTAGCCAGGATGGTCTCGATCTCCTGACCTCGTGATCCGCCCACCTCGGCCTCCCAAAGTATTGGGATTACAGGCATGAGCCACCATGCCTGGCCTTGGATATGCCAGACTTTGTTTATCCATTCTTGTTGGTGGACATTTGGGTGGTTCCAGTTTTTGGCTACTAACAAACAAAGCTACTATGAACATTGATACACAAATCTTTTAGTGGATATATCCTATTTTTCATGGGTAAATAAGAATAAAACAGCTGGATCATATGGTAAACACAAGTTGAGCTTTTGAAGAAACCTCTAAACTGGTTTACCAAGTGATTGTAACATTCCACATTCCCACCAGCAGTGTATAAGAGTTCTACTTCATCTACATCCCCAGCAACTCTTGGCAGGAATGGTTTTTGTTTTTGTTTTCATCTTAGTCATTCTTATAGATATGTAGAGGTATCACATTACAGTTTTAAGTTGCATTTCTCTAATGACTAATGATATTGAGCACCTTTCACTACTCTGCTTGGGGTAATAATGGAAACAGTGGCTTTGATTTCTATGCAAATATCTTGGGGTTTCAAGGTCTATGATCTCTACACACAAATGGCTCAACTAAGTAAAAGTCATAGAACTCATCTAATGGGAAATATCAGAAGTGCCCAGGTCTCCCTTTAACCAAAATCATAAAAGTGAAGGAAAACAACACGATATTATAGATGAAAAAAAAATGATGCCTTAAAAGGTCAAAGTGAAAGTATTCTTAAGAAATTACAGGTGTACCTTGGATATTTGCAGGTTTGGTTCCAGATCAGCACAATAAAACAAATATCACAATAAAACAAATCATGTAATTTTTTTGGTTTCCCAGTGCATATCAAAAAGTTACATTTATAATATACTGCAGTCCCTTAAGTGTGCAAATGCCTTATGTCTACAAAAACAATGTACATACCTTAATTTAAAAATGCTTCATTGCTAAAAAATGCTAATGATCATCTGAGCTTTCAGTGAGTCATAATTTACTTGCTGTAGAGGGTGAGTCTTGCTTCAGTGTTGATGGTTGCTGATTGAATAGGGTGATAGTTGCAGAAGATTGGGGTGGCTGTGGCAATTTTTAAAATAAGGCAGCAATGGAGTTTACCACATTGATTGACTCCTGCTTTCATAAAAAAACTATCTGTATTTCTCAACCTATGAAGCACAACAACAAAAAGATTCTCTGTAGCATCTGTTGCTGGTTGATTGTATTTTACCAACAGAAAAACTTCTTTCAAAATTGAAGTCAATCCTCTCAAACCCTGCCACTGTTTGTTCAATTAAATTTATGTAATATTCTAAATCTGTTGCTGTCATTTCAGTAATATTCACAGCATCTCCACCAGGATTAGATTCTATCACCAGAATCTACTTTCTTTCCTCATCCATAAGAAGCCTTATCCCTTTAAGTTTTATCATTAGATTTCAGCAATTCAGTCACGTCTTTCAGACTCTACTTCTGATTCTAGTTTTCTTGCTATTTCTACAACATCTGCAGTTACTTCCTCCACTGAAGTCTTAAAACCCTCAATCACTCATGCCAGTTGGAATCAACTACTTCCAAACTCTTGTTAATATTATGTCAACATTCTCCCATGATTTATGAACATTCTTAATGACAGCTAGAATGGTGAATCCTTTCCAGAAAGCTTTCAATTTACTTTTACTAAATCCATCAGAGAAATCACTATCAAAACCAGCTATTGCCATATAAAATGTACTTCTTAAATAATAAGACTTGAAAGTTGAAATGACTCCTTGATCCATGGGCTGCAGACTGGATGTTGTGTTACCAGGCATGAAAATAACATTAATCTCCTTGTAGATCTCCATCAGAGATCTTGAGTAACTAAGAATCTTTTTTTTCCCCTCAAGCAGTAGGTCTCAACTGTGGGCTTAAAATATTCAGTAAACCATGCTGCAAACAAATGTGCTGTCATCCAGGTTTTTTTTTATTTATAGAGCACAGGCAGAATAGATTTAGCATAATTCTTAAGGTCCCAAGGATTTTCAGAATGATCAATAAGCATTGGCTTCAACTTAAAGTCACCAGCTACATTAGCGCCTAACAAGAGAGTCACCTTATTCTTTGACATTTTGAAGTCAGGCATTGACTTTTCTCTAGCTATGAAAGTCCTAGATGGCATCTTTTTCCAATATAAAGTTGTTTGATCTATGATGAAAATCTGTTGTTTAGTGTAGCTACCTCCATCGATTATTTTAGCTAGATCTTCTGGATAACTTGTTGCAGCTTCTACTTCAGCGCTTGCTGCTTCACCTTGCACTTTTTTGTTATGCAGATGGATTATTTCCTTAAACCTCATGAACCAACGTCTGTTAGCTTCCAACTTTTCTTCTGTAGCTTCCTCACCTCTCTAAACTTTCATAGATTTGAAGAGAGTTGAGGCCTTTCTCTGGATTAGGCTTTGGCTTAAGGAAATATAACTGGTTTGACTTTCTATCCAGATAACTCAAACTTCTTCACCATATCAGCAATAAGGCTGTTTTGCTTTCTTATCACTTGTGTGTTCACTGCAGTAGCACTTTTAGTTTTCTTCAAGAACTCTTTCTTCACATTCACATAGGTGTTTGGTACAAGAGGCCTAACTTTCAGCCTACCTTGGCTTTTAATATGCCTTCCTCACTAAGCTTAATCAATTCTAGCTTTTCATTTAAAGTGAGAGACTTGTGACTGTCCCTTTTACTTGAAAACTTAGAGGTCATTGTGGGGTTATTAACTGGCCTAAATTCAATATTGTTGTGTCTCAGAGAAACAGGAAGGCTGGAGAAGAAGAGAGATAGGGGAATGACTCATTCATGGAGCAGTAAGAACACAATATTTATGAATTAAGTTTGGCGTTACATGGGTGTGGTTTATGGTGCCCCAAAACACAATAGCAACAAAGAACACAGATCACAGGTCACCATAAAAGATACAATAATAATGAAAAAGCCTGAAATATTGTGAGGATTACCAAAATGTGACACGAGACACAAAAGGAGCACATGCTATTGGAAAAAATGGCTCCAACAGACTTGCTCAATACTGTGTTGCCACAAAACTTCAATTTGTAAAAAACATAATAAAGTTAAGTACAATAAATCAAGGTAAGCCTGTATTTAAGAACCAGAAGAACTGTTTTCAGAAAGCTGTTTGATCCTTGATAATACATAGAGTAAAATGATCCGGTAGAACAGGAGCAGAAAACCATGAAAAGACACTGGATGGAGATTAAACAGCTACTGTAAAATGACAAGGGAAGAGGTATCTTTCAATGTTTGAAGGGAATGTTCATGATGCCAGATTTTTATGCCAGCCAAATTGGCTTTTACTCATGAAAGCAACAAAAAGATAGTCACAGATATGTGAGAGCTACAAAAGTTGGTAAAACACATATTCTCTTTGAAAAACATAGACATACCTCACTAAACTGAACATAAATTTACTTTTGTCTGCTTATTTATTTAACGAGTATTTATTGACTAGTTGTTGTCTATCAGGTAATGTGTTCAGGATCCTGAGAAACTATGAAAAAGATATCACTTCCTTTTATTGATACAAAATAACAAAACAATTCATATAAAGTGAAAAAAATGAATGTTGGCGCTTAAAATGCATCATTAATCATGAATTCTTGAAATATTAAATAATGCTTCTCATTTAAAGGATGGAGTTTACTTACTCGTAATACGTTTTATGGTAACTTTTATTTGGCAAGGTCACTGCCAGCCCTGACTAATCCAGAACTATGATTCATAGAAACTTTGTGGAATTTACTACTTATATTAAATGGGAGTAACCAATTACTAAATAAATAAGTAAATACATAAAATCATTTGATTATAAAGTCATCTGTCATCTACATTTTATGATTCATAGAAGACCAGGATTTTAGACAGCCTCAGGGTTCTTGCTATAAGCATGTGCTTTCATTGTACAATAGATGTCAAGATGCCTGTTTCCATAATTCCAAATAATGGATAATTTACATAGATGTTTAACTTCAAGTGACAATTCACTTGTCACAATCTGTTCTGCTAATGATAAGACAAGGAGTATAAGGAGGGGATATTTGATCTTCCTGGTCCTCTGCCCCACTGTCCCTAGGTTAGACATGTTCTTGATAAAGCATTGAAGGCCTTTATATCTCTTGTAAGAATATTAATAGCCTGGGAAATGTTAGAACTCTAATGCTTGCTGGACAGTCACAATTGAAAAGGATCTCTGGCAGTCAGCTAGTGAGTTAATTGGCTCCAGAACAAGTGGAAAGAATGCAAGGAGCCCCTATTGGAAACCCCTCTGGAAACAGTGTGTGTAGTGTCCCCTCTTTACAGACAAAAACTATCCCATGTTATTTTGAGCATTTACTTTGCATAATGGAAGGTTTTTATTAGAAGCACAAAAGGGGTGAGGGGTGGAAACAAGACTCTTCAGAAAAACAACATAAATTCTCCACTATTATTTCCATCTTCCTTGTTGACTTACATACCTCTCCTGCAATAAATAATTTACTGTAATAAAAAATTTACTACACTAAAACTATCATTAAGGTCACTGAAAGAATAAATCATCATGTTTTACAGAGTATGCCTAGCTAACCAACTTTACTGCTTGGATTTTTATTTGCTGGGTGATGGGATGTGCAAGGCAGTTAGAGGAAGTGGGGATTACTGAATAAAAATTAAAACATTCCTACAGCAAGCCATCAGGATTGAACTTGACCTTTGGGAAACAAATCAAAGAGTCTCATAAAAGTTGTGCTTCAAGCCACATCAGAGTTATTTTTATGGGCAAAATCTGCAGTCAGATCTCTGATAATGTGTGTACTCACAACTCTCAAAGGGAAGACCAGGACATAATACCAGCTTGTTGGCATCCTTCAAAAACAAGATGGACAGTCTCAGTCATTTTGCATTCTCAAATATGCAGAAACACTACGATAACTCACTTTAGCCCTGTGCCTTTTAGATATATATCATATTACATATATGATGTATCATGTTATTGAAATAACTTTGGAGAATACTAGATTTCAGCTAACAATGTAAATACCATTACCTTAATCAATTATTTGTTAAAATAGAATTTTAGATATGATCTGAATTGCTTTGTGAAACTTATCTTTTTGAGGGATGAGGTACAAGGTATTGCTGGATCATTAAGCGATACTGTATAGTTTTAAAATACATTAAATAATATTAATGCAAACAGATATACCCTGCAATTAGATGCAAAATTATAATTCTTAAACTTTATTAATGCTATTCATATTTAGAATACATCAAAAGGGAGCATAGTATTTGAACTTGAATGATAATTTGAGAAAATGTTTTCCTGATCATAACTTTCCATTATTATTCCCAGGACACTACCTCACTTCAGCTTCATTCATCATTCTTGATTTTATAGCTACACTTTCCAAAAATTTATTGATTCATTTTATCAGCAAACATTTTTTGTGCTCCTAATATGTATTTAAAGCACCATGCTAGTCATGATTGGAAGTATATGATGACTACAGCATCTTTCATTCCTGCTTCAAGGATCAAGATGATAATAGTACCTGTACATGGGACTCTAAAGCTAAGTAGAAAGTAAATATCACTGAAGTTGATGTTATAAACTAAGGAAGCCAGAGTATTGGCAGAGACACCAATGATTATACTGAAGTCACTGGGAATGTTGCTAGAAATTAGATGAAAAGAATATAGAGTCGATGCTAAAATCTTAGAAAAGAGCAGAAATTGACAATGGCCTCACGTTCACTTGATCTCACCATTTCCCCTTTTTCTATTGCACTAGAGCCATTTCTATTGAAATTATGTCTTCATTCTCAACATGGAGGAACGTATGTATCTCACATATATGTCATTTCTTTGGTATAAGGCTTTTGAGACTCTTTACAGTGACCCAGGTGAGTGGGAAAAATGGGCCAGACCTTATTCAAATGCCCACTAGGGCTAACCTCATTGGAGAAAACAACTTAGACCATATGACATGATGCTGAAACATAGCAGAAGAGTCAGGCACAGGGCTCTAGAAAGGTAATGAGCAAAGTTACTCTTCTGGGCATCAAAGAGCAGTGAGAAAGCATTCTAGACTGAGGACTAGTAGACAGGCATTATTCATCCCAAACATCCAAGCCTCAGATGGCAATGACCAGGAGAACAACTCCCTGGACAAGAAGACTGGCAAAAATAAGAGAGGAGAGACACATCCTGAGTCATTGAAAGGAAGCAGGGAAATGCTGTGCTGGCTTAAGGGCTGGGTTGGAACTTAGGATCAAGGACCAAAGCAGAATCCCACAACCCAAAATTAAGCCAATACAGGGATAAATGAAAAGGCTGCCAGGTGTGCAAAAGAAATTTTGGAAAGAGGATAGGCAGGGTAGAACCAGGTGTTGTGGGATCAATGGTTCATATAAGTTTGAGGCCCTATTTAAGCAAAAGAATATAAGAGTTATTAATACAAAGGTAATCCGCCTCTCAGAACCTTAGAAGGGTTCATGTAAGTGGTGTTCTGTAGCTCACACTCTTTTAGCTATACAGCAAATTCACCTTGGAAGGTGAGTGAGGGAAAGGGGAAAGAGGCTTTAAGGAGACAATGTGAAAACCCTGCTGTTGCCCTGGAAGCACCTACCAGGTCCTAAACTAAAGTATTGAAGCTAAAATATTTGCATATTTTCTGTCCCGTCTGAATAGCCTAGTAATCAAAATGGGCCTTATCTCTGATCTGTGATCATAAAGGCCAACTGTGGGAATGTGGAACAGATGCAACTGGGGAAAATGAAGCAATAAATTCATATAAGAAATTATTTTATTTACAAAAGTGAGATGAAAATATTTGTTTCCCTTGACAAATTTCAAAAGATGACTTTGGATAACAGAAGACATAGTAATGTAAATATGTATGCGTATTTGAGCATTATTTTTATGTAAGTAAAATTCAAGTATATAGAAATGTGGGAGATAAATGGGATCTAATTAAACTAAACAGCTTCTGCACAGCAAAAGAAACCACCATCAGAGTGAACAGGCAACCTACAGAATGGGAGAAAATTTTTGCAATCTACTCATCTGACAAAGGGCTAATATCCAGAAACTACAATGAACTCAAACAAATTTACAAGAAAAAAACAAACAACCCCATCAAAAAGTGGGTGAAGGATATGAACAGACACTTCTCAAAAGAAGGCATTTAGGCAGCCAACAGACACATGAAAAAATGCTCATCATCACTGGCCATCAGAGAAATGCAAATCAAAACCACAATGAGATACTATCTCACACCAGTCAGAATGGCGATCATTAAAAAGTCAGGAAACAACAGGTGCTGGAGAGGATGTGTAGAAATAGGAACACTTTTACACTGTTGGTGGGACTGTAAACTAGTTCAACCATCGTGGAAGTCAGTGTGGCGATTCCTCAGGGATCTAGAACTAGAAATACCATTTGACCCAGCAATCCCATTACTGGGTATATACCCAAAGGATTATAAAACATGCTGCTATAAAGACACATGCACACGTATATTTATTGCGGCACTAATCACAACAGCAAAGACTTGGAACTAACCCAAATGTCCAACAATGGTAGACTAGATTAAGAAAATGTGGCACATATACACCACAAAATACTACGCAGCCATAAAAAAGGATGAGTTCATGTCCTTTGTACAGACATGGATGAAGCTGGAAACCATCATTCTCAGCAAACTATCACAAGGACAAAAAAACCAAACACCACATGTTCTCACTCATAGGTAGGAATTGAACAATGAGAACACATGGACACAGGAAGGGGAACATCACACTCTGGGGCCTGTTGTGGGGTGGGGG
Organism: Homo sapiens; assembly: GCF_000001405.40. Classification (NCBI taxonomy): domain Eukaryota; kingdom Metazoa; phylum Chordata; class Mammalia; order Primates; family Hominidae; genus Homo; species Homo sapiens. The sequence continues at coordinate 74,875,087 of NC_000013.11, forward strand.
AAGGGGGGAGGGATAGCATTTGGAGATATACCTAATATTAAATGACGAATTAATGGGTGCAGCACACCAACATGGCACATGTATACATATGTGACTAACCTGCACGTTGTACACATGTACCCTAAAACTTAAAGTATAATTAAAAAAAGAAATGTGGGAGATAAAATATATACTGGAATAGAGTGGTGATATGCATATACTGACAATATATTTTAAAGTTTTTTAAATTATAAAACATATGTGATAACCACATTACAGGAAGAAGAAAAAAAAGAAAAAGCAATCATTTTCAACCCAGATACTTCCATTATTGCTTTTGTTCATCTCAGATTTTAAAAAACATATACCTTCGCTTATATAATTCCCTGTGTCCTTTGAAATAGAGGAGAATCTTCTTCAATGTTAATATGCACCTCCATTACTTTCTTTGAACTCAGCCAAGCTGCATTTCATGCTTTAACCATCATTTTCATCACTGTTACTAACTGCTTAAAAACAGCTAATGCAACCCTCAATTTCATTAATGGACGTGTAATGCCCAGAACATGGGTGTTAATAGCCCCTCTCTACCCTGGGCTGGGCAGACCACGTGTAGATCATTGTGTTCCCTCTCAGAAACACATTTTATAAGGGTCATTGACAAATAGTATTACATTTGTTTGAAGGACGATTATCAAGATGGTGAATGCCAAATGAGGGACATTAAAGAAATTGAGGGTGTTTAACCTTGAGAAGAAAAGCCCTAGAATGAAATGGGGAGACAATAGGTCCTATCAATTATCTGAAGTTTTGTTGCGTGGAAGAGGTGTCAAGTTTGTTCCCTGTGGCTCAACTATTAGGTGGAAGTTACTGGGAATCAAGTTGCGGCTCAGTCTCAGCAAACTTTCTAACAAGGAAGGCTGCCTGAAATTTTTATAAGCTCTCTGTTCCCCCTGCCTGAGAGTGTTCAAACAGAGACTGGAGCACCACCTGGCAGATGTGCTTAATTGGAAGGTAAGAGGAACTAGCTGGAGGAACAAACTTAGATGTCTTCAACGGCCTAGGCAGGCAGGTGAGGTGAAGCCGATGAGAAATGTACTAATAAGAAGATAAGGTATGAGGCACACTGGAGAGAGATGCTTCCCCAAACTCCACCCAGCTGATGGCATTCAGGATGCATGCACCCTCCCCCCACCCACCACCCACACACACAATATTAACAAGCCATGTTTGGCCTATATGGCACCAGTTCATGACTATTAAGCTATATATAACTTCACAGGTCTCTTCCAAGGTTAGAATTCCCGCATTCTAAGATTGTTTTCTGTACTGTGCCCTAAGGACTATGTAATATTTTATGTTAATGATCATGAACAACTTTCCATTTATTTTAAAAAATGGAATGTAGGATTCCATTGATAATTTACATATTTAAAGGAAAAGATGGACTTTTGTAAATTGGAATATATTTCCATGTTTTTCCTCATTACAACCCCAAAACCCAAGATGAATCAAGAATAGAGGTAGTCTTCATTAAGGGCACCATCTATCATTATAAATGCACATAAACAGAAACCTTAAAAACTGAAGGTTTTAATCAGATTTTCCCACTGATCCATATATTTGCATTCTTTTTCCCCAGTATTTTACAATAAATGCCAGATCTATAAATATGGAGAAAACAGATCAAAACCAATACTTAGTATTTGAATAATTGCCCCTTTTTCTAAATAAAGGAATAAAATCCTTAGTTTTGTTTCAAATAACTAAATATAAAGTATATTTGACATAAATTTTATTAAATTTAAATGATAGGTTTGATGTATGTAAGTAGTCAAATCATTGACAATAAACTGTATATTTTAGAGTCACAAAATCATTTTCTTGTGGAAATATAACCTTAAATATACAATAAATTATACCTTGTTTAAAACGCCATTATTTTGTGTCTTTGATACTTGAGGTGCCCAACTGATGCACTTTGTTGTGGGATTTGGTGAAAGTGGTGTTTTTAATTGACAACTTTTAACTGATTAACACCAATAATTGATAAAGAGGACAGAAAATATCTGGGAACAGGAATGAGGCTGATGAGTTTGTTTTTGAACCTGTTGAGTTTGATGCTCCTGTGGGGTTCCCGTGAGTCTAGTCAACAGATAGAGACAGATGATCCTAGAGCCCAGGAGAGACACTTTCACTAGAGTTGTACATCCTTGGCAGCTAGGTGCCACTTAAAGCCAAGGGAGCAGATAGGACCACGCAGGATGAGCAGGCTGAATGCAAGGAGGGTGAAGACAAAGCCTAGAGATCTGCAATATTTATCACATGAGGGAAAAAAGGGGGCCTGAAAAGCAACAGGAGAGGAGGGAAGTCAGAGGCCTAAGAGCTGCTCTAGGGAAAATGTTGCATGGAATCCAAGTTAGCCCAAGTTTCAAGAAAAAGAAGGTGGCTAACAAACCAAATGTTATGGAGGAAAATGTCCAGTGGAATGCAGCGTCCTTGGTGAACATGGGCAGAGCAGTTTTCAGAGAAGGAAAATGCCTGAATCCTAACCATAGTGGGATGAAGAGTACAGGGGATTGTGGCTGTTCATTGTGAGTTCTTCAGTACTTTTGGTATCATGTGTATATGTCACTGATATGCTTGGCTGTGTCCCCACCCAAATCTCATCTTGAATTCCCATGTGTTGTGAGAGGGACTGGGTGGGAAGTAACTGAATCATGGGGGCAAGTCTTTCCTGTGCTGTTCTCATGATAGTGAATAAATCTCATGAGATCTGATGGCTTTATAAGTGGGAGTTTCCCTGCATGAGGTCTCTTCTCTTGTCTGCCACCATGTGAGATGTGCCTTTTATCTTCCACCATGATTGTGAGACCTCCCCAGCCTAGTGAACTGTAAGTCCATTAAACCTCTCTCTTTTGTAAATTGCCCAGTCTTGGGTATGCCTTTATCGGCAGCATGAAAGTGGATTAATAAAATCATTTTTTATTTCAAAAAATATATAACACCTCTTTCAACACTATTTTTAAATTTTTTATTGTTTTTTAAGACAGGGTCTCACTCTGTTGCCCAGGCTGGAGTGCAATGGCATGATCACAACTCACTCCAGCCTTGACCTCCCTGGACTCAAGTGATCCTTCCACCTGAGACTCCTGAGCAGCTGGGACTACTGGCATCTGCCATCAGCCCCAGCTAATTTTTGTATTTTTTTGTAGAGACAGGATTTTGCTATGTTGCCCAGACTTCTTTCAGCAGTTTTAGATAATGCTTTATTTTTTTCTCCTTCTCTGCTCGACCAGGCTCCCCAAAATTTAAATTAGTTCATCTCTGCTTCCTCAGCTCCTTTTAAACTTTCTACCTGTTTCTTTTTGTTTGTTTGTTTCTGTTAGAAAGATTGGATCACTTTTATAACCTGTGTGGAAGGAAGGAGACAATAGAATAGGATAAGTGATGATTTCCAATTCTCTGCCAATAATACCCATTTTCTGAACCAACTAGAAACCAGAGGTCACAGGTGAGCTTGGCTGATGCCATCTGGGAAAGTCAGGCTGCCAGAACTCAGAGAAGAGTGGAAAAGAGCCCTGAAGAGTGGATCCTTTCCATAACTGAATTCAGTTATTCCATTCTCTTTCCATTAGTTCCTATCCTTCCTGCTGCCCCTTTAATACTCCAGCTCCACAAATGCTCTGATATGACTGGATCTTCAGTCCATTCACCCCACTACATTTACTCTATCTCTTACCCTTCCCCAACCACAACTGACTTTTATTAAGAAGCTTAGAGTTATGGCTCATACTTTTAGTTACTTCCTTGAATATACCCTCAAGTTGCTTTGTCCCTGTATTAGTTTCCTAGGCCTGCCATAACAAAGTATCACAAACTGGGTGACTTAAAAACAACACAAATTTATTCTCTCAAATTTCGTGAGTCCAGAAGTCTGAAATCATGGTGTTGGCAGAACCATGGTCTCTTTGGACACTCTGGGGAAAAATCATTTCTTGCCTCTTCCTACCCTACAGTGACTGCTGATGATCTTTTTAATTTCTTGTCTGGTAGATGCCTCATTCTAATCTCTTCTTCTGTCTTCACATGGCATACTTCCTGTGTGTCTGTGTCCAAAGTTCCTCTTCTTATGAGTCATCAGATTGGTGCCCATCCGAATCCATCATGACTTTATCTTAACTTGATTACATCTGCAAAGACCCTATTTCCAAATTTTCGTGTTCACAGATACCAGGGCTTAGGTTTTGAACACATCTTTTGGGACACACAATTCAACCCACAGTAGTCCCTTTACCCTGCATTTTTCCCACCAGGCAAAATGTGAAACTAGGGGGAAATCCCATGTTTTGCCTATTTCATGACTGCCCTTGCATAGCTGTAAGGGGCAGGAAAGAATCAAAACAAAGTCAACAGTCTCCTTTTAAAGGCATGACTTCTACCTCCAAGTGAACACTAGTGCTATCTGATAATCCTACTGCATTTTCCTAGTGGGTTTACTTTCACACTATCCTAAATGACCATTTCACACCATCAACCCTCTCCACAAAACTTCAAGACCACTTTCTCTTTGCTAATCTCAGCTGATAGGATTGTTTCTCGTTATAATGAGAAAAGAGATGCAATCAGGAAAGAACTTGTAAGTCTTCCAATGCCAATCTAAAAACCAACCTGCATCTTGATCCATATTCTGACTGTCTCTCAGGTACCATGGATAAAGTGCCTGTGCTTTTACATTAAAGCCACTCCTCCACTTATGCACTTGGTTCCAACATTCCCCACCTGCCCCCCATTCACTTGAAGATATCACTCCTTTTCATTTTCCATTCTCTCTTTTTCATAATCAGTTTTTTCCTCTTGATTGGAATATTCCTATTCCTATTAACATACACACGTAATACTTTCCTTCTAAGAAACAAAACAAAAAACCTTCCTTTGATACACCTTCATTCTCCTTGCAATTTCACCACTTCTAATTCTCATAAAACTTCTAACAATTTTACCTAAACCTTTTGTCCTCATTTCCTCCCCTCCCATTTTCTTTAACCTATTCTAATAAAGTTTTATAAAGTTTAAGGGGACAGACTCCAGAGCTAAAATCCTTGGCCCACTGCTTACTAGTGTGTGGCCATGGGAAAGTCCCTTAACGTTGTTGTGCCATAATTTCCTCACCTATAAAATGAAGATAATAAAACCTATCTCAAAGGATTTTTATGTAGTCAATCTAATATTTATAAACTACTTAAGGAACTGCTGGACTAATGTAAAGTGGTATATACTTTCTTATCAAACTAACTTCGAATGATAAATAAAGTACATCCCTGTCTCACTCATATACAAAATAAACAGATTTAAGAACTAGGCCAGGCACAGTAGCTCACACCTGTAATCCCAGCACTTTGGGAGGTTGAAGTGGGTGGATAACTTGAGGTCAGGAGTTCCAGACCAGCCTGGACAATATGGTGAAACCCCATCTCTATTAAAAATACGACAATGAGCCAGTCATGGTGGTGTGTGCCTGTAATCCCAGCTACTTGGGAGACTGAGGCAGGAGAATCGCTGGAACCTGGGAAGTGGAGGTTAAATACTAGAAGAAAATATGAAAGTTTATTTTTGTACTCTGAAGGTAATAAGTAGTTCTTAAGCAAGTTGTAAACTTAGGTCACATGTAGAATATAATAATGAATTTCACTGTAAAGCAAGTTAAAAATCCCATAATAACTGGGAGAAAACAATAGACAGAAAACAAAGAATGTTTCTGCCCACTAATTAAGAGTTCTAAAAACATCAAGAAAATATAGCCACCAAAGAAATGATAGTCTGTGAATATGAACAATTCATAGAAGACTTACTAGTTTCTATTGTTGCATAACAAATTACATCAAACAATGACTTAAAGCATCGTACCTTTATTATGTCACTGTTTCTATAGGTCAGGGGTCAGAGCAGAGCACAGTTTAGCTGGAGCCTCTGCTCAGCATCTCACAAGGCTGCAAGTAAAGCATCAGCTAGATGTGTTCTCATCAGGAGGCTTGACTGGTGAAGAACCCACTTTCAAGCTTATCTGGGTTGTTGGCACAATTTATTCCTTATGGTTGTGGGACTGATGGTCCCTGCTTCTGCTGTCTAGGCAGCTTGAGTCCAAGAGGCTGCCTGCAGTTCAAAGGGGGCTGTCTGCAATTCCTTCCTCATGGGCTTCTCCATCATGGCCACTTACTTCACTGAGCCCAAAAGGAGAATCTCACACCTGTGGGAAAGCCTAGTCCATCTTGTAAGGGCTTTTCTTGACTCAGGCCCACCCAGGATGACTTCCCATTTGATTAACTCAAAATCAACTGATTTGAGACTATAAATAGATCTTCAGTGTTACTTCATCTTTGCAATATTTACTGACTACAAGCAAGTCACAGGTCCTCCCCACATGTGAGGAAAGGAGATTACACAGGAGTGAACACCAGGGCTGGGAACAATGGGGATTAGCCTAGAGTTCATCCTTCACAGAAAAGGACATACAAATGCCTCTCAACCTGAAGCCATTTTCCCCTTTCAGATTATCATAAAGTAAAAAGTGCTGACAATGATTTGAGGCAGCAAGTACTCTTATAAACTATCAGTGTAGTATACATGGACACTTTCATTATGAAAGGGGATTGACAGCATCTACTAAAATTCAATATGCACATCCTATTTAGGCTACAAATTCCATTTCTTGATTTCAATCCTGAAAATATATGAACATTAGGATAGATGTGCAGAAATGTTCAAAGCAACATTATCATAAAAATAAAATTTGGAGAAAACCCAAAACATCCAAAGTAGAAAGAGAATTAAATAACTTGCAATGCATTTGCACTTTGAAGTATGCAACTGTTAAAAATGAATGAGAAAGAACTTTATGTACTCATATAGAAGGAGCTTAATATGTTATTGATAAAAAATTTAAAAGTTGTAGAACAATGGCATATTATAATACTATTTAAATTGTGCATATACATCTGCCTATGCATTTATCCATCTACACACTCATGTTTTAATACAGTCCAGATTGCTACAGTCCAGCCTGCTAAAAAATTTTTATTAGTAGAATATTTACAACACACAGTGCTATTTGCATATTTTATATAATTTTTAGTTTTTAAAAGTTTTTTTGCATAATTTATATAACTAAGTATGTTTGTTTATTCATTAATATATTCCATCAAATTAAGACATTTTTCTTTCTTTTCTAGATTACTTTTTTATCACGTAGATATTATATTATAATTCAGATATCCTTGTGGCCACTAATTCCACTTCTTAACATAACTCCTATAGAAAGATGTGCGCTAGAATATATGTAAAAAAAGTTTAATATTACATTATCATATTCAACAAAATTAAGAGAATCCCCAAATAGTCACCAATAGAGAGGATTAAATAAATTGTGGTACATGGATACTATGAAATGTGCAGTCATTAAAAAGGAGGAATCTTTCTGTATTTATGATTATGATGTTGTTCTTTCAATAAACCGCTACCTACATTTGCTAATAGTTTTTTTTTTTTTGCATCTTTGAATCTTATACAAACATTTGCATCTTATACATACTTTTTTTGCATCTTTGCGTCTTATACATAAGTGAAATTATATGTTTTTTCACTGCTGTTATTAGATATTAGTACTAGGGTTAATCTAAACTAATTGAAAGGGTATCTACCTTTTCATCATTTTCCCACAGTTTTGTGTTTCAATACACTATATGAGAATTACCTTTTCCTTTTAAAGTATGAAATAAATGGCTTAAAATCCTTATGGGTCTGAGTGGTTTTGATCCCTTTTAATTGCCTTTTCAACTTCTTCTGAAGTAGTGGGGAATAAAGAGAGCACACTGGAGAAGGTAAATGAAAAGTTTTGATTTTGGATGATGCCTCATTCTGTAAAAGCCTCAAGGTGAAAGGAACAGTCTAAGATCAAACTAAGATCGCAGACAATTTTCATGCAGAGAGCACATTGGAATCAATGAACAGAGGAACATTGGAAGGTGGAACCTCAGGAAGGTGAAGAAGTGTCCTGCAATTTGGACAATGCTCAGGGACCCTGGATAAATGAAGTCATGGATGGAGTTAGCTAATCTCAGCACTCTTAAACTTAACTTGAAATTACTTTGCTTTGGTATTAAAATTACTTGAGCCAGTGTTTAGGAGAATTCTGCCTTATTCCATAGATTAGAAGAAAAATATCTGGGACAAAACCTCATGGTTTCAAAGAAGCAGTGACTGTGCCTCAAATTCTACCCATCCTTTGGGGACTGTCCTATAGTTAATTTCCCCCAAAAGCCATCTCACCTACTTTACTTTCCCTTAAGATTAATAGCTCTTGGCTGGGCATGGTGGCTCACGCCTGTAATCCCAGCACTTTGGGAGGCCACGGCAGGCAAATCACCTGAGGTCAGGAGTTCGAGACCAGCCTGACCAATATGATGAAAACCCGTCTCTACTAAAAATAATAATAATAATAATATTAATACAAAAAGTATCCAGGCATGGTGGCATGCACCTGTAATCCCAGCTACTCAGGAGGCTGAGACAGGAGAATCACTTGAACTCAGGAGGCGGCGATTACAGTGAGCAGAGATTGCGCCATTGCACTCCAGCCTGGGCACCAAGAGGGAAACTCCATGTCAAAAAATATATATTAGTAGCTCTTAGTAACACACAGTTGAACAATAATAACATGCATTAAAAAATGTTTTATTATTCTGGAGAAAGTTGCAAAGATAGTTCAGAAAGTACATTTATACTTTCTCCCACTCCCCGACAATGTTAATTAGGGGTATGTTTGTCACAACTAAAAATTTAACACTAGTATAGTACCATTAATTAGACTACAGACTAGATTCTGATTTCAGTAGTTTTTCCATTAATATTTTCTCTGTTTTAAGATCCAACTCAGGTTACCAAGTTGCAATGAGTTGTCACGTCTCTTTAGCTCCCTCTAGTCTGTAACAGTTTCTCCATCCCTCTTGATATTTATGATCTTGAGAGTCTTAAAGAGTATTGACCAGTAGAAGTGTAATGGGCAAAGAGTTAAAATAGAATTTTTTTTCTTAAAAAAAGTATTTCTTAAAAAAAGAGTATTGCCCGGGTATTTTGTAGAATATTCTTCAATTTGTGTTTCTCTGGTGTTTTCTCACATTACAGGAGAATTATAGAAAGAATAATTTTCATACCTTTTACCCAGAGGTAAGGTGTTCTCTCATAAGATAGATACCAGGGGGCACATGATATCAACATGACTTATCACTAGTAATATAAACCTTGGTCACTTGGTTAAGATGGTATCTTCCAGGAATCTTCATTATAAGATTTACATTTTATCAATTCTATCCTCTATTCTTCGGAATCCAATCACTAAGTTCAGCCTACACTCAAAGGGAGAGAAATGAAGATCTACCTCCTGGAAATGGAAGTAGTTTTTCTATACAGGAGACTTTTTTCTTTCCTCCCATTGAGTTATTTATTCAATCACTTATTTATATAAGTATGGTCTCAGGGATACTTTATTCTTTAGATTATAATCAAATTCTGTTGTTTTGTTGCTCAAAGTTAACATTCTTGTTTTGTTTTGTAAACAGAATCTCACTCCGTTGTTCAGGCTAGAGCACAGTGGCACGATCATGGCTCACAGCAGCCTCTGCATCCCGGGTTCAGGTGATCCCTCCACTTTAGCCACCCTAGGCTAATTTTTTTTTTTTTTTTTTGGTATTTTTTTGTAGAGATGGGGTTTTGCCGCATTGCTCAGAGTCGTCTTGAATTCTTGGGCTCAAGCAATCTGTCTGCCTTGGCCTCCTAAAGTCCTGGCATTATAGGTGTGAGCCATTATGTCTGGCCAAAGTTAACATTCCTGTAACCTCCATCCTAAGAAAGTTTCTACCCTCCCTCTATCAAATTGTAAACCCCTGAATCTAGGCACATGCTATGTAGAATTTCTTTGTTTTCCTCAATAGCATCCAGCAAAGATCACTGAATATAATAAATGTTTGTTAAATACCTGTTGGTAGATGATAAGTAGAGAGATCATATATAGACAGATGTGTCTTTCTACCACAGGTTAATCTATATAAAAACCATTTCAGCCAGGTAATTTCCTGTTCCAGTTTTCCAGGTCTCAAGGCAAAAGAAAAAAAAAAGATGTTTGAGAAATGGAGGGGAATATGAGCACACTTAAGGAAAAAGATAGTCTTAAGACAATTCTCAGAGGTAAAGAGTTGTTTATACCAACTTTTCTCGTTCTTCAATATCACATCTGTGACTCTCTGGCCTTTCCCATAAAACTGCTTATTTACAAAAAGTCACATATTTTAGAAAATCAAAACCCTAAAGATTAATTTGTATACTATCTTAAAATTTTAAAAAATAACATTTACCCAACATAAAAAGGAAATACTGCAAATTTTAATTACCCTAATTTTTAAAACTTATTATTGCAATAATCAATTTCAAAGCTGCATATACTAATGAGATAAACACACTATTCTGCTACTTGAAATTCTTGACCCTAGTGTACTAAAGATGTGAGACTGTCTAATTGGAATTCACCCTATCATGTACTATTACATTTATTAGCCAAGGGATGCGTTTGTAGATTCCTTTCTGTGACCAAAATGCCAAGTGCTCAAAGGCCAAGTCTAAACAGTCAAAATGAAGCACAATATCAAGTAATTACATAACAAATTCAGACAGTGTATATAATAATTACTGAGACCAAAACATTAATCCTTAGCTCTTGGACATTTGAGCTATCTATTTAAGTACTGGGCCAGCTCCATACAGAAATAATGTTAAGTTAAAAGTATTTATTAAGACAAATTTTAACAGGATTGATTGCTATTTATTCCAATTAAGAAAACAGAAGCTAAGGTTGTAGAAGTAACCATTATATTATGATTAGAAATAGAAAATAACTATAAGAGGGACAATTCCAGAACCTTAAACTAGGTGGGCAACAGAGTTGGAAGAATGTGGTGGTGGTGGGTGGGTGGGGAGCTCATCAGTAAAGAAAGTCTGCTTTTCTTTTTATTTCACATGTGAAATCATCAGATTTGACAAGCTACTAGTCAAAGAAGGGCTTAATTTTCTAATACATCTTGAAATAGGATCTCTACTATTTTTTGCACAGGGCCAAAGCTGAAGTATACATGTTGTACATTGACAGCTTCCATAAATACTATTTTCTCTTTGCTTACTTCAGGAAACATACCACCTGATTCCTAATTAACACAATGATGCACATCAAATGAAAGCCCTTGCTTTTTTGTTTCACTGTCATCCATCCATAGTGTTCCCAGACAGGGAAACATTTAAAGCAGCATCAGACAAGTATGAGTATTGGAAAGAAAAACTACACATACACACACACCCCACACACCCCACATGAGAGAGAGAGAGAAATATATATAGAGAGAGAACGAACCACTATTGTTCTCTCTTTTGCAAGTGTGTAGGTATTCTACATGGAGCAGGGAAAAAGTACTACGACTTCTTACATTTCTAGCACTCACACTTCTGACTCCTCTGTTTGCAGTAATTTCAAAACAGTTTCATTCAGCAACTGAGTAACATCAGAGGAGAAACCTCAGTCTTGGCAGGAAACACTTGCTCTTTGCCTCAGAAAGCCTCTGGGATGAAAGAGGTCCTGTATGCTGGTGTTTGAAATTCTAGTTCATTCCGGTGAGCAATATAAATAAAATTATTTGTTTAGGAAAGCAGAGTAGGGGCAGCAAAGTCAGATACCAGGAGTGCCTGGCTCCTTACCAATTACCCAGCTCCCCTGCACTCTTGTAACAGTGATCCAGGAGGGTGCCATCTCTTTTGAGACCATGCTTCTCTGTCCCATTTCCATTGCTTCTGAAGCCCTCTATTTAAAAGTGTTCTTTAGAAATGCAAAGAGAAAATCTGATTATTGTTGTTTACAAATACTAATGTGGCACATCTTCTTCTGAAAATGACTTCATCAAAATTGATTTAGGTCAGAGTTATTTCATGATCAATTAATGAAGGTTAATTAAGAAAGGTAAGGCTGGTTAGAATGTGTTTTGTCCATATTTATCCAGTGCTTAAATTGAACAGGAGCCATTGGAAGTACAGATGTTATATTCCTTTTCATATTTCCAATTACTACCTAGCAATGACCAAACTTTTCTCTACCCCGGTATTCCACTGCTATTACTACTACACATTTATAATAGGTAAACACTTTATCTTGCAATATTTGAGGTTTTATTTAAATGGAAATCAATTTTTCTTTTGGCATAAAGGCACATAATATGGGTTAAAGTTATAATTATTAACCTTGAAATATATAGTGCCCTATAGTTCAGAATCTGAAATTCTGAAGGTATTGGAAGGATTATTTGGAAACAGACTTTAGATTTTTAGACTTGCATAAGAAAAGGTAGAAGAAATTTAATATTTATATTTCACTAAAAGATTTAGAGCTTTTTTTTTCAAAGTTTAAGATATTGTCAATAATATTACACTGGAAATTGTGCAAATATGAAAGCATATTAAAAGATCTAATGATAGGAGATCAGAGAAAGACTTAAAATCTATTTGATATTTAGATGATTTAACTAAAGGGAACAAAAATATGTATATAAATATGCTGAATGTCTTTGGACATGGAAAAGTACAATTACAACTAATGACAGGGGGCATATTTCACCAAAAGTGGCTAGATATTCCCTCTGTTGGGGAATATCATGCTACATTGACAGCAGCCAAGAAATAAACAAAAATGAGTAGGTGGACCCATGACAAGCCATGGACAGCAAGTCCTTAAAGACCTCAGCCCCTGCTCAGCTCCAGCCAATTAAGCATAATGGGATAGCAGTGCAGTGTTGCTATTGCTATTAGTTTCTGAAGTATAAAATTTAGATTTTTATACACTCATTTGTTTTTTTAAACACTGAAAATTCTCTTTTTTTCCCAAAAATTTGCCAGCCAAAAGAAACAAGATTGGATTAGGCCCCCAGGAAGCCAGCTTACCTCTCACATTTAAAAGGATCCTAGAGGATAATGCTGGGTAGACAATCAAATGTCACTCATTGAGTACAATGGTACAGTCAGTTCATGGAGGGTACAAATGCAACCTTCAAGGATGCTCCAATTAAAATTACTGATCAGCTCTTCATGCGCTATATCTAAATCTTCATAGCAATAATGAATTTACAGTTTCACATTAATATATATGATGATGATGAAGTCTGCTTTTATGAGCCATTTTTCTTCCTATGGAGAAATGGAAGAGTAATTTACTGTGTTTGGCCAGGACTGCCCAAACTTAGTACCAGGCAACGCCTGATAGAAACTTGGATCACAGGGGGCACACAAATGTCATAGGCTCTAGGGCTGAACCAAACAAGGTTCTTTCTTGTTCTATGATTCCAAAAGATTCTCTGTTTGAGAGAAAAGGGCAAGATTAGGCTTCAGAGAAAAGAGCCCGTGGTTCCAGAGTAAGGAATCAAGCAGTTTATCAGTCTTTCAAGCAAGAGAAAAGTATACCTCACAGATATAGAATGGTCAACCAATAGAAAAACTAAGATGGAACAAGGTATAGCATTAAAGAGGAAATCTCTGAAGGTCTCAATACCACTTATACACTACAGTATCCTTTTTACAGATAACGTGTATCAATCCCATAGAGGAGAAAGGGAAATATTAAAGGAATACAAAGGGACCAGACAAGGTTAGATCTGGGAAAGTCCTGGAACTCCATGGAAGTATAATTATGCACCAGCAGATGATTAAATACAAGTATGAAACGTGCAGGAATTTGGATGCTGCTCTATGTTTGATATAATATAAAATATTTGTATTTATATTTCAAAAATACTTGAACTCACTTGCAGGTAGATATAAGTTATAGCTCTATGTTGCTCCAAGGTGGTGTTTATGCCTATCATTTTAAGGCTTTACAATTGAATAACACTTTAAAGATATAAAGAAAAACTTTTTTGGCAAAAAGGTAAGGGTAAAACTAGGAGTAGAAAATTCATTCTTCAATGACAATTAGGTGAGCCAATAGGAAAACCTCCCCCAAAAAGGACAAGATGAAGACTCCCCCAAGTCCCATAACATTCAGTATATTTTCTTGAAAAGGCCATTAACACAGGTCTAAATCAAAGTGAGTGGCATGTATGATATTCCCCCAGTGTCATCATAATCTTAGCACAGTCTTATAAATCAATGAAGCAACACACTCATATAAACAGTGTAAAACCACAGCATAAAACTGTGTACTGCATGTGATAAGGCCACTACCTCTTTAGAATCTAAGTTGATTTTTTAAGGGATCTCTACAGGGTCATGAAATCCATTTTTTGCCTCATGTAAGCACTGATTAGTCTTCCAATCTCCATCCTGCCCTCATTTTTGTTCTTTGCTTCACATTGAGCAGTTACACCCTGTCTGGGCAGGATGTTCTTTGGCTTAATTCCAAACCCATTTCACAATATGAGACTCCAGGAAACCTTTAGTATCAGTGACTTCTACTCAGGTATAAAAGCTCTTTAAAGTCTACCAAAAATCATAGAATTCATGCCCATATGAAATGTTTTATAGATGATCATTTCATTTCAAAATGGCAGAGTGAATTAGAAATAGAACTGTGGTTATACCTCTTAGCCCTACTTAAAATATCGGCATATCTATAATCTTCTTTAAAGGTAACTGTAGCTTTTTCTAATCTAAAACTTTAAGCATACTTATCCTTCATGCTTATAAAATTCACTGCCATCAGATACACTTGCTTTATATTATTTATGTTAACTTTAAGGTTTTTTCACTTTTTTTACATTTTAAGGAATTGTTTCCTTTGTACATTTATTCAAATGAGTTCTTAGGGGTCAAGTATAATGCCAATTTATTCTAGCCACATAATATCACTTTGAAAGCAGACAGGAGAAAACCTGTGAGTAAATAACTATTTTTTAATACAGAAACTCTTTTTTTCTTTTTTTTTGAGACGGAGTCTCGCTCTGTCGCCCAGGCTGTAGTACAGTGGCGCAATCTCGGCTCACTGCAAGTTCCGCCTCCCGGGTTCACGCCATTCTCCTTAATACAAAAACTTTTTTACAGAAAATACAGAACTGTCATGTATTGAATCACATCCATTCAAAATTCAAATATTGAAATGCTAAACCCCAGTGCCCCAAAATGTGGCCTTATTTGGAGATAGGATCTTTACAGAAGTAATCGAATTTAAGTGAGGCCGTTAGGGTGGGCTTGATGTAACGTGACTGGTGTCTTCATAATCATAAAAAGGGGAAACTTAGACACAGATACATATAGAAGGAAGAAGATGTGAAGAGGCATAAAAAGCATATTAATATCTATAAGCTAAATAGAAAGGCCCACAGCAGATCCTTCTCACAGCCTCAAAAGGAACCAACCCTACTGACATCTTGATTTTGGACTTCTAGACTTCAGAACTGTGGATCTGAGTAAGGAAGATTACCCTCCGTAATGTGAGTGGCTTTCACCCAATCAACTGAAGATCTTAATAGAACAAAGAGTGATCTCCCCTAAGGAACAAGGGATTTTGACAGCAGACTGTCTTTGTACTTGAAGTGCATCTCTTCCCTGAGTTTCCAGCCTGCTGTCCTACCCCATCAGATTTTGGACTCACCAAGCTTCTACAATTCCATGTGCCAATTATTTAAAATCAATATTTCTCCCTCCCTCTCTCAACACACATATCCTATTGATTCTGTTTCTCTAGAGACCCTAATACATTAAGCACCTACTATAAATGATAATATATTTAACATTTGTGATGCTAACAATAAGCCAAGAAATTCATTGGGCACTTAACATAGGTTATTTCAGTAGAGACTAATACAATCTTGATGTCGACACTGTTATTTTCCAAAATTTACATGAGGAAACTGAGGCACAGAAAGGTCAAGTAACTTGCCCAAGTTACTGAGCTAGAGATTCTGCCATGCTGAAATAGAACACAGGCCCTTAGCTACTGTGCTATATTAGCGAACACCAGGCACTGCACTGTGTCTAGGGGAAAAAATAGTGCAGTAGACATGGTGCCTGGCTTCAGTAGGTATTAGATGTATACAGAATAAATCTAGCACTATGGTGAGTGCCCCAGAAATGTTTGTTCAGTTGCAGTACATAAGCATAAAATACTAGGTCATCAAGTTAAACAGGTACCAAATTTTGATGAAGTAAATGCCATGAACTACCATATCAGATACCATTCAAGTGTCAGGAAAAGGCAGAGCTCTAATGACCACAGAAGGCAACAGTGGCCATATTACCACAGTACATACATAAGTTGTATGGACCTGGTGTAAAAATTTAAAGGGGCAATACATTGTACATAAAAGTGGCTCTACCTTGCACCTGGAAATTATTGAACCTGAGGAAAGAATGATGCTCCGACAGAAAAATGTTTGTCTCTAGGGAGAAAAATGAGCTAGATAGGTTTTAATATTTTTTCCTCCTGTATATTTCAAGGTTTATAACTCCCAGAGAGGTGTGTGTGCATCTCTGTCTGAATGCAGGCTCATTATGTTCAGAACCAAAATTGGAGCAATGTGTCCTGCAGGTGCGATGTTTTTTGTTTTTTGTTTTTTTTTCCAGCAAAACCATCAGTCCACCAGGAATTGCCCATTAAACGTGTGTCTTTTTACAACCAGCTGGATCACTTCCTATTACTCATAACAGGGTTATTTACAAATGAGACGCTGAAAGGGTAACGTTGTCTGCCTCAGCCAAGGTACCTTCTGTTCTATTAAGAATATAGAAAAGTAAATAACAGAAAGGAAATACATCCTGCCAGTTAACAAGATGCGGGTTAAGGGCCAGAGGCAAAACCCAGGGCCCTTAAACTAGCCAATCATTAACTGCTAGAAAATGCCTACAGAGGGGTCACCTCTGGTGATACAGGAGAGAGAAGAGGAACCTAGGAAAATATCTGTCTTTGCATGAGTGGGAAAGCTGAAGGACTCAAGAAGACAAACAGAACCATCCAAGCAACGCTTTCCCTCAGTTTTCAGCTGAAATCAGTTCCACAGTACTACATGTTTTTCATGGAAAGAAAATCATAGCACTCCCCTTTTCCTTCCTTGGTTTTTCATTTCTAAAACCATTTACTTTCTCTTCCTCAATGTAATGGCATACTCCACATGTAGGATCTGATTACAGATCTGGACTAAACCTTAGGAATTTTAATAAAAGAACTTATGATGAATGTCTACACTGCGTTATGCTTCATTTTGGTTTATAAATTGCATACAGTGCTGTTTTGTTTTGACCAGGGACTAAAATGAAACCAAATCTGTACAAAATACCTAGGTTGGGCCAATCTTACAGCACTAGTAAATTTACTCCCTAGAAACATTCACAACATGCCGTTCCTACTTGATTAAAGATTAAAACATCAATTTTGGTTTGAAACAGCCTTCTGCCTGGAGCTGCTGATTTGATGTATTGCTTTTGGCTTTGGTTTCCAAATGTCAGCAGTTGGAGACACTGAAAAAAGGTAGAAGGATCTGCAAGGGTTCCGGAAAAAGAAATCAGAAGTTTCCTTTTACTGCTGTGTCCCAAGTTCCTTCCTCCCAACTCCTAACTTGGTAGTCTGATTTCTATGATACTTCTTGCATGATCTTTCTCCACAAGTTGTTTCTGCTTTGTCTTTGCCCACCAACACACAGGGCTCCAGAGTTCTTCGAAAACCACCAGAAATAATCAACCAACACCAAACACAGTAGAAAGGAATGGAGATACTTCCCTATGATCAAATCAAGAATAATAAGGAGGATTTTACATCATTTAACCAATTTCTTAATTTTAATATGTCTCTCTGCTCAGATATCCCTGCTTTTGCTATCAAGAAGGGATATATTTGCATAATCTTTCCTGATTCAGTGCTCAATCTTTCTCAGATCGTTACAAGCCATTAGCCATTGCCCTAAACTTGCACAAAAACCTAGTATTAGCAGTGACTACCCCTTAGAAAACAGATTAGTTTCTGTCTGTTATTAATCACCCATTTGGCTTGAGCTGCTCATTAAAACACCCCTTCCAGGCACATACACACTTTCAATGCAAAAAATCTGGAAATTTTCTCCATCTTTGCCGCATCTGTACTTCAAGCATGTGGACCCTCCAACATGGGCAATGTTTTAACTTACTCTTGCAAGGTAATTGCTTATGTAAAATATTTAAATAAGGGATAGGGAATCAGTGCTGACAGAAGCCTAGGAAAGAGAGAGGGAAAAGGCAGTGACTTTGTGTGAATATCCCTTCTTAATTCAATATCGAATACATTTTACTGTTATGAAAAGTTCACTGTTATTATACAGAGAAATTCAGCAGAAATACATTAGAGATGTCACTCTCAGTGAACGCCCTTCTAGTTTGGTAAATTTCATTATGGACCCTCACTCTGGTCCGGAATTTTTGGTAGCGTGGCAAGTGGGAATGTCCGTCCGTCCTTACTTCAAGTTTTAAAAACGGATTAAAGGAAGAAGAGAGAGCTACGTTTTACATAGAATTCCCTTTTGGGGAGAAGTTAACAGTATTTCTTTTCTCCATAATCTTAATAAATTTCACTTCCTTATCAAATTTAGACATCTTCATATTTCAAGTTTTTATTAACAATCATTTTCTGGCAATGTTAATAAGGCAAAGATAGTTATTACTATAAGTGGTCATTGAATATGTTTTTTATACATGTGTCATGTTATTCTTTTAAAATATATAACATGTGTAATTTTATTTCCAACTTTTAAGTTCTGGGGTACATGTGCAGAATGTGCCGGTTTGTTCCATAGGTAAACGTGTGCCACGGTGGCTTGTTGCACAGATCATCCCATCGCCCAGGTATTAAGGCCGGCATCCACTAGCTATTCTTCCTGATCCTCTCCGTCCTCCCATCCCTCCACCCTGACAGGCCCCAGTGTGTGTTGTTCCAACTGCCATGTGTCCATGTGTTCTCATCATTTAGCTCCCACTTGTAAGTGAGAACATGCAGTATTTGGTTTTCTTTTCCTGCGTTAGTTTGCTAAGGATAATGGCCTCCAGCTCCATCCACGTCCCTGCAAAAGACATGATCTCATTCTTTTTATGGCTTCATAGTATTCCATGGTGTATATTTACCTCATTTTCTTTATCCAGTCTATCAATGGTGGGCGTTTAGGTTGATTCCGTGTCTTTGCTATTGTGAATAGTGCTGCAATAAACCCCCACCAACAGTGTAAAAGTGTTCCTTTTCCTCTACAAACTTGCTGGCATCTGTTATTTTTTGACTTTTTACTAATAGCCATTCTGTCTGGTGTGAGAAGGTATATATTTATATTAACATATTATATATTACAAAATATTGTATATGTATATTTTATTAGAGTAAGTCGACCCTGGATACAGATGCTTAAAGTAAGTTTTATGACACTTTAGCATCAGCTGTCAATGTCAAACATCTAAGCTTTCTAGGGTAGACCATTTTAAGTGACCAGTGTATGAGAACAGGACAGGTCAACCAGAATTGAGAAAATTTGGTTTTTGTAAATTGTTTTGGGTTCTTTGGCATACTAAGTATAAGGTATATATAAACCTAATGTAGCTCAAATTCTCCAATAAGTTAAATGAGGCATGTTATTCTTCTTTATTTCTGCCCTCAAATTACCATTCTGGAGGAGACTACAGTTGTTTCATGCCACGCCATCAAAAATTACATATTCAAAACCTAAGGCATATCATTAGCAATTAAATGGCACTCTGCGTTTACCTGAAATTTTAATGTCAGTAATTTTTTTAGCTCCTGTGTATGTTTCTAATTGGAAAAAATATTAGGATTTCTATTTTGCTGGTAGAAAAATGTAGTTTTATATAGTGACTGATTATTAAAAAAAAAAAAGTAAAGTTAGTCATAGAGAGAGGATTCCCCTTTAACTGCTGTTTCCTCATTCTACCCTCATTTAACTCAATTCCCATAGTAAGACCGTTCCTTATCACACCAGATGTCTCTAGTCCTTTTATAAATGAGTTGGGTTTGGGAATAGAGATATGTTTTGCATGCATAATGAAGGTAAATTTTCCAATCTAAAAATCAGATCTTTGGGACAGCCTGACATCAATTTATCAATCACTGTAACTGCTCCAGCACTATGACAATTAGTTCATTTCTTGTCATTACACATGTCAGTAAATACTTTTCCTTCAGATCAGTACTTGTTCTTGTCATTTACCAAGGCATGTAGAGCTTTGTATAATGTCATGCCAAGACTTTTTTTGTGAAATGACTACAAAAAATAACTCCAAAACTTTGTTGAGGAAGCTGAGGAGGAAGCACACAGCCTGCTTGCCCCAAAATATCAACCACATTTCACCCAAGTTATCCAAATTAAAAATATTTTTCTGAGTTTCAAGACCTTTCATAATCATAAGTGGGTAGCCCCATATTGTAAGAATGTCCAAAGATCATTATAATGTTTCCTGTCTCATGTTTAATAAAAAAGGAACCATAGTTAATTTGCCATGACATATCCTCTGCATGACTTTCTGTAAATTATGGTCTAGCCACAAAATTAAGCTAGACTCTTGTGGGCAAGACTGCAGTCACTTAAAAATTATGTAAGTGGGGACAGACTCCTGGAGAGAATAACCCACAGAAATTATTAGATGTATACAATAATTTAAGGAGAGGGAAACAGTTACAAAAGAGTACATACACATGATTCTCATTTAAATATATTATACACATATTACAGTATATAGTGACAAATATGTATTTGTTGTGTGCATTGACGAAAAGTCAGTTTCTCTCTGTGTGGTTAGATAATGGGTCTTTTAAATTTCCTTCTTTATACTTTACTTTAGTCTTCCAATTTTTCTATAATAGACCGGCATTAACTGATATATAATCAGGTAAGTGTCCTAAAAATAGAGAAATAGATGTATAAGCAACCATAAAAATTCTAAGATTACAAAGCCTATGTCTTTAAATTCCCTGAAAAGAAAGGCCACGTTTTTAAAAACACACTAGGAGAGTGGTACTGTATCTTCAGGATTCTGAAAATAATGTAAAGACCTGGTAAATGAGTGGCTGAAAGTGAAATATGAACTAGAGATACACAGTTGTTAAGGCAAAACAAAGAAAAAGTAGAGATTTTTTTAAAACACAGAGTTAACAGTGGTATCTGCATCATATCTCCTCTTTGAATAATTACAAGTGATTGCAGCTTGCTGGGCCCAGTTAAATCAATTCATAATTATATCACTTCATTTTAATGAAACTAAAGGAAACCGACTCACACAAAATAGGTGTCTTTAAAGGAACTACCAATAGCAACTAAACCTAATCACTCATGGTCAAGTAAATATTAAAATCACAGAGCTGACATCTACCACTCCTTATCTGAGATCTCCATTGGACTACATTGCCATCTTAGAAGGAATGACCATCAGATAAGTCGAAATAATCAAGAAGACTATTTGGAATATGTGTGTGTATACTTACACTTGATAAGTTAATCTCATTCAATGTGTATTCTTGGCTTTAAAATAGTAATGATAGTATAAAGCCATCATATTAATAAAAATATTAAAAAATGAACAGCCAGGACATAAAAACAGACCATGACAATTTTAAGGGAAAAAGTCATAGTTATTGTCACTGCAGTATTTTATCAAATTTCTCTATTAAATCTATGGCAACTGTTTGAAGTCTCTTTTAAGGTTCTTTCACTTCATTGTGAAAACCAAATTCCACATACCAGCGAAGAAAGTCTCCTTCCTGCAATAGATAGTAGAGTGGACTGCAATAATGGGCTAAAAATAATAGAGAGATGATCTAAAACCATTTCTTTTTCAACATACACTGCTGGAAGACAGAAAATATTGTTGGAAATGGAAAGAAACAAGCCACAAATCACACATTGTGGGAGATTTGGTTTTTTTGGATGAAGCTATGGATTATGCTATGTTTCAGTCTATGCTATTTGCTATATGCTGTTTCAATAATGAAATATACAAAGAACTACTTTTTTGTGAGCCACTGAGGATGGTTGTTTGGTCTGAATGTAACCATTCATAGAATATATATGCCCATGACTGGAATGGAGATGGGAATCTGCTTTCAGAGCTCAGAGATACTCCAGCTTGTGAAATGCATCTGCTGCCTCATTCTGAGGCATGCTACTGCAGCAAATAATTGAAACCAGAAGCAAAGTGCCCAAAATGCTACAAGATGCCAATTAGATCACCTGCTGCACAACTCTGATCACCTGTAATACAATACAAATGAAGAACCTTCAAGCTGGGCAAGAGAGGGACCCTATCTTTAGGGGGTTCCCCAGGTTTATACCACCAAAGGGGATTTATTGTGAATCATGGAGAAATACTTAAAATATTTAATTGCATGGGGAATGAACATATACGTCTTTTAAAGCACACAGAATCACTGGGTATTTCATTGCAAAATATTTAAAAGAGGTATCGAAGAATAATTTGTGTATTTTTATTTTACAAAAGGCAAAAGTGTCAGTTTTGCCAACCTTTAATTTGATGAAAAGTAGTAATCAGCAATATATTACCCAGAATTATTTCTTGAGACAGGATCTCATTGTCACCCAGCCTGGAGTGCAGCGGTGCGATCATGGCTCACTGCAGACTCAACCTCCTGGCTCAAGCAATCCTCCTGCCTCAGCGTCCCAAGAAGCTGAGGCTACAGGCACATGTCACCATATCTGGCTATTTTTTTAAATTTTTTGTAGAGAGAGAGTCCTACTATGCTGCCCAGGTTGGTTTGGAGCTCCTGGGCTCAAGCAATCCTCTTGCCTTGGCATTCCAAAGTGCTGAGACGACAGGTGTAAACCACCGCACCCAGCCCGGAAAAAGTTTTTGGGAAGGAAAAAAAGAAGTTAATCTACTTAATCTGTACTTTCAAGGTAAAAATGATATTTAAACAATAAGTCACAAAGTCCTTTTATTTAAAGGAGACTCATGCTATATTTCAAAAATTGATGTTTAAAAATATTTCCATATTTATAAGATTTTGCTGTTGAAGATGATACTAAAAGGTCTCTCAGAGAATCTTATTTAAACACTTGAAAAACTCAGAAATAGGCCTCTCTAACCTGTTTTCACAGATTCCAAATAGAATCTCAATAGAGAATGAATATCAGTTTAAATTATTAAAATATAGCACATACTGGGTTTAACATTAGAATAAATGGACACTTGTCACCCTATTTTTAACAAATGCTTTGCAAAAATGAGGGTAAGAGGTAAAAATATGTTTTATTATTTAGTAGACAAAACTATTTAGATCTATGTATATTTGTAAAACATACTTTTTGTTCTTAAACTCTATTATCAAAATAAGTAGCCTCAGAACCAGATCTTAAGTTACTATATCATGAAGTGTTCAATGGAGCTTTTTTTTTGTTTGGGAAAAAAAATGTCAAACTATATTACTCTAGTTTTAACACATTTTTACGAATACAAAAGCATCTTGTAGTAATGAAAAACTAAAATTTAAAAACTAATGTTTTTCAGCTTTTTTCTGTTTTAAAATTTCTATTTCAGGTACATTTTATGCTATTGAATTATATTAGTTCCATAGGATATATAAGTAAATTATGTATTTATATACATATGCATATGTACATATATGTGTATATATGTATTTACTTGAGGGTTTGTTATAAAAATCTAACTGATAAAATATGTGTTTTTAAAAAAATATAGTCCACTGATCTAGAGGATAGATGTGTGTCAAACAAGTTTTTAAAACTTTGAATGCATCAAGGGAACATTTCAAGGCAAGTTGTATTTCATATTATAAATAAAGACATCTAAATCAATGTATTTGTTATGTGGATTACATCATAAGGAGATATTTTCCAAAGCAAAATATTGTTTCTCCTAATTGTGTTGTGCCTGTCTGAAACAAATTGTTTTTGCTGCTGTAAAGGTTCCCGGATCCTCACTGCAGCTCATAGTCCAGCCAGAGCATTGGAAAACAGTGCACATTTCAGAAATAGATAATTTTCCAAAATGAGACAGTGCTCTCCAGAGAGAACAAGACCTTTATTTTCTCAAGCCTTGAGGTAGTTCATGCTACTGTTTAAATACCAACACTCTATAAAAATCACAGCCATTTATCTTACTATTCAAGAAGTCTCCACGGTTGCCACATAGCAGTTTTATTACAGAAAAGAAAGGGAGAAGTAAATATTTCTTACTATCCCCAAATCAGATAATGGAATTCACATCCTTTTCCTTGTCCTAGTTATTTATCTGGGACTTCCTGGTAAAAATTCTGTACTTCACATGTGTATTATATCAGGGACACAAAGTGATCAGTTAACTTGGGGTGGGAGCAAAGAGCCATAAATATATTTTAACCATCAAAAAGCTCAATTGTATCATTTGCAAAGGATTAAAAACTCATTCTATGTATATATTTAAATAACAATGTTTATTCTCTCTGTAAGGATAAGTTTTTAAAAAATAAATTAAGAAAACATCTTTTCTGTTAGTAAACATACACTCATTGTAAAATAAAAAGTAGGTACAGAAGAGTAAAGGAATAAAATAATGTGAAACAATGTGACTTCTCATATATTATGGAAGGAAGTTTAAGTAGACAGCCATTTGGGAAAACAGTTAGGCATTTTCTAGTAAACTAAAAAACACAATCCCTGTGACCCAACAATTCTACTTCAAGGTATATACCCTAGGGAAACTTGCACACAGAACACGAGTAGACATGTACAAAAACCTTTTTAGCAGCATCATTCACAATAGCTCCAATGTGGCAACAAACCAAATGTCCATTGAAGGAACTGTTGAATGCTTACAAATGGAATCCTGTAAAGCATTGAAAACAATTGAAGGACAGCTATGTAATACATGAATATTGTACAGCAATGAAAACAAATGAAGTACACCTATATGGAATGCTGTACAACCATGGAAATAAATGAACTACAACTACATGCTATAGAAAATGTTGTATAGAAATGGAAATAAATGAAAGCTACATGCTACATGGAATACCATACAACATGAAAAAATAAATTCCAGCCAAATCCTGTATTTATATGAAATACTGTATTTGTTCACATGGCTCCATCTTTCAAGCATAATGTTGAGAAAACAACGCAAGCCACAGAAAACAAAATTCTGATTTATGAAGTTACAACAAAAAGCAAGGCTAATATATGGGTATTAAAGCTATAAAGTAAGGGAATGGTTATCTTAAGTCAGGATAATGGTTATTTGTAGATAGAATGAAGAGAAATGTAAAGACACAAGGATAGTTTTTAAGCTTAAAATCTTAGCTATCTATAGAGTTATATGCAAAAAAAAAGTCTTGAGTTGGCAGTCACAGCTGGTACAGTAGCTCCATGATGTCATCAAGGACCAGGCTCTTTGTTTTTTCTGCTCCATCTTCCTCTGTTCTTGGCTTTTGTCTTCATAGTAGCAAGATGGCTGCTATTTCATGCATCATGTCCACCATCCAGGTACAAAATGATAAAAACACAGCAGTTGAGTTTGTTTCAAGGATGCCTGGCAGTGCAGCAGCCATTTTACTACCATGTCGAAAAAGTCACATGCTGAAGACAATGGAGGAGGAAGAAATAATGAGAAGAGATATTTGCATCATCATCCTTTTGGAGGAGGTGTTTGAAAAGTGGTATGAAAGGTGACCTTTACAGGGAAAAAAAAAAGGCATCGTATTTTTTATGAGAATGCCAGAACAAAAAATATATGGAAATGATTATTTGGCTTTCGGGAAATTAGGACCAGTAATTATTTTGTAGATGATACAAATCGGGCTAAGAAATCTTTATAGACATAAGATGTCTATAGAGGGGAAAATGTATCTAGTATGTTGACAAATGCTAAATCCTGAAACAATGCTAATAAAAATACTAGATAATATAAGGATATATGAATTAGAGTTATAAGCAGACAGAGAGTGTCCACTTTGATATCCATTTCAATATTTCATCTCATAATAAATGGTTTAATAGTATGACATGCTTTAAAACACATGCACCCATTCTTTCTGCTCTTTCATTTCCGGCTTTCTTTCTTATGTAGCAGGTATATCCACACCTTCTTGCAATCACTGAGAGGGCTGCAAGCAGTTGAAAAGATAAGTGAAGTCAGAGGGTGTTTGGTGCTCTCTCTTTCTTATTTTTATTTTTATTTTTTGAGATGGTATCTCACTTTGTTGCCCAGGCTGGAGTGCAATGGTGCAGTCTCACCCGGCTAATTTTTATATTTTTAGTAGAGAAGGGGTTTCACCATGTTGGCCAAGCTGGTTTCCAACTCCTGACCTCAGTTGATTTGCCTGCCTTGGCCTCCCAAAGTGCTGGGACTACAGGCCTGAGCCACCGCACCAAGCTGATCTTACTTTTTAAAAAAAATAAGGATTCTTATGCATTCCGGTTCTACAATTAGATTTGGAGCAAATCAGAGAAACTCAGCTTGGGTAGAGAAAATTGACAAAGAAGAAATCTGGAAACTCATGGTCCCTGGCCATGACATCATCTGAATCAAATCTTCATTACCAGCAATCTAGTTCCTATAACATGATTTATATCCTATGACTTCAGATATTTCATCTTCATAATGCTCTTCTAGACTTCTCCTGAACCTTACTTTAGAAAACAGCGATCTTTAGGTACACTGAAGTTCCTTCTTTGAAGGAGCAAGTGTCTTCATTCTCATACTTTTTGTATCTTCTCTCTTAGGATGCTAAGTACTTATATTGGAAATATATAGGATCCTTTAAATATCTGCAGTGAATATTTCAGAATGATCTGCATTCTTCAATTCCTGAAGGTTTAAAGGCGTTATGATATGATAAGGCAAACAAGAGCTGTAGACACAGAGCTACTTTTAAGTTCTAATGCTGTTATCGATTACATAACTTTCTGGAGATTCTTAATCCTCATCTGCTAAGTCTGAACAATAAAACCTATTTCATGGGGGTGATTATGAGGATTACATGGAAAAAAAAACATGTTTCATGCTTCTCAAAATTCCTTAGGTATTTTGCATTCAGCCAAGGAAAATCATGGTGCAGCCTCCTGGAACATAAATTCTATTCTAAGATTGAGAAGTGACGGAAGTTAAAGTAATTTGACTCATAAATAATGTAAAACATTGATTAGCTATTAAAACAAGCACATATCATAGAGTTCAAAATTTGCATGAATATCTAAGCTAAAGCAAAAATCTTCAATGAAAGTTGACTTGTTCAGAGAGTTGTCACAGATTTTGTGCTGCTCTTGCATTAGGAATAATTTGGTGAAAAATTTTAGAAGCAACGTATGTATGATCCCATCTAGGAAACATTCCTTTTCAGTGAATATTCCTGATTAACTTGGCATTGCCCATCACATCAACTGTGATGCATCCACAGGGCTGAGGAATAAATATAATGTACCAGAGAACAAAGCATAACACATATGTGACAGAATCAATAACCCCTTGAACCTACTAGAGTAGGAAAAAAAGGTCATTTTGGGGGGATTAAGAACTTTTGAGAGAGTTGATAGCCTGAGGCAAAGCCAAGGGCTATTTGTACCATGCAGTCATTAGCTTTCTGAAATAGCTACCTGTGACCTCTTTACCAAAGTAATGTGCACGCATGTTGGTAATAGCAGAGAGGCAGACAGCTTGCTAATATACTCTTAACTGGCCAACGTGGTGCTTAAGGCAAAGGAGAAATGTATATCTTTCTCTTTTCATCACCTTCACAGACACAGCAAATAATCCTAGAGTTGTCTTGCAGTTTTGGAAGCAGCTGTAGAAATCACAGTGCTTTCAAACTGAGGATTGAAATGCACTAGAAGGTAGCGAAAACACTTCACTGGGTCAATTCATTTTTTTTAATTAAATAAAATAAAGTATGTCAATAAAATATAATAGAATGTCAAGGAAAATACCAGAAAGTTTTGTATTTTGTAAAACTAAGTACCGTTTTTTTGTTATTTTTTGTTTCAGTTATCTGAACCTTTTGTTTCCATCATCTGTGAAGTGGTTCCAAATATGTATGTAGCAGATTGGTCCTCGTGTAAAATGATTTTTTTTATTGTGGGTTGCAGTCAAAAAATCTTAAAAGCCCCTGATAGGAAGTACCCTTTGATTTTACAGATAATAAAACTTTAGTCCAAAGAGTTTACAAGCTTTGCATAAGCATATCATGAATTTTTGTTAATATTAGGCCTCAAAGTAGCAATCAGGTTTCCTGGTTCACTCCAAATTTTTCTTTTCTGCCAAATTTCTCTGCATTGCCAAGTGATCAGAACCTTGAGAATATATATATTTTTAAGAAATATCAGCCATGCACAGTGGCTGATATCACACCTATAATCCTTGCACTTTGGAAGTCTGAGGCTGGAGGATTGCTTGAGCCCAGGAGTTTGAGATCAGCTTGGGCAACACAGTGAGATCCCATCTCCACAAAAATTTAAAAATTAGCCAGGCATGGTGGCATGTGGCTGTAGTCTCAGCTACTTGGGAGGCTGAGGTAAGAGGATCACTTGAGCCCAGGAGTTCCAGTCTCCAGTGAGCCACTGCACTCCAGCCTGGCTGACAGAGAGATCCTGTCTCAAAAAAGGAGAATTAGCGATATTTAAATAAACACTAAAAAATTTTGTGTCAAAGTACTTACATTTGTAAAATATGAGGGAATGTGTTGATGCCTAAAGTCTTTGTCCCTTTCCCTAAAAAATTCTAGTAGGCAGCTTCTGAAATGGCCTTCAATAATCCCCACATCCTGGTGTTCAGGCCCTTGTATAATCCCCTGCCCTTGAAGATGGACTGGACCAAGTAATTCAACTTACTGTTGAATAGAATAGGATAACGTTGATGAGATGTTATCATTCTTCTGAGTTTAGATTAGATTACAAAAGGATTGTATCTTCCTTCTTGCCTGGTCTTTCTCTTACTCACTCTGAAGCAGCTATCATCTTCTGAACTGCCCTCTAGAGAGGGCCATATGGCAAGAAACTGAGGGAACCTCTAGCAACAACCAATGAGAAACTGAGGCCCTCAGTCCAACCACTGTGAGAAACTGAAATCCGCAACAACCACGTAAGTGAGCGGGACAGCATCCTGCCCCAGTGAGGCCTAAGTACAGACTGAAGCCCTGACCCACACCTAGATTCGTGCTGAGAGAAACCCTCAGCTAGAGTTGTGCATGAGTTCTTTACCCACAGACACTGTAGATAACAAGTGTTTGTAGTTTTAAGCCAGTAAGTTTGGCAGTAACTTGTCATGCAGCAATAAATAATTAATATACCAATTATTTCCTATTGACATATGAAATATACTAGGAAAAGACTGTGATGATTCCACCCATGAATAAAGGGCATGGTTAAAGTAGGTTTTCATACAAATAACCTCATGTGGCTGGCAACATAAGTGTAGAAAAGTGAGACTAAGGTGTAGGAGACTGAAATGTGAATATAGGGTTAAAAAGTAATAAATTACAAAAAGCAATAAGATGTGGTTTGGCTGTGTCCCCACCTAAATCTCATCTTGAAATGTAATCTGAATTGTAATCTCCATGTGTCGAGGCACGGACCTGATGGGAGGTGACTGGGTCATGGGGGTGTTTTCTCCATGCTATTCTCATGATAGTGAGTTCTCACAAGATCTGGTCGTTTGATAAGCATCTGGCACTTCCCCCTTCTCACTCGCTTGCCTGCCACCCTGTAAGATTTGCCTTGCTTCCCCTTCACCTTCTGCTAAGATTGTAAGTTTCCTGAGGCCTCCTCAGCCATGTGGAACTGTGAGTCAATTAAAACTCTTTTCTTTATAAATTACCCAGTCTTGGGCAATTCTTTATGGCAGTGTGAAAATGGACTAATATACAATGTCTATAATTTATTTTTAAATAACAAATTTTGACAAAGATACAGAGAAATTGAAAAACTTCATACATTACTAGTGGAAATGTAAAATGGTGCAATACTTGTGGAAAAGAGTTTGGGAGGTTCCTCAAAAAGTTAAATATAGAATTTTCATTTGATTCCAGCAGTTCCACTTCTAGGTGTATACCCACGAGAAGCAAAAACATGAATGTTCATATCAGCGTTACTCATAATAAAGAGTAGAAACAATCCAAGTGTCCAACAACAGATGAACGGATAAACAAAATGTGGCACATCCATACAACAGAATATTATTCGGCCAAATAAAGGAATGAAGGATTGATACATGCTATAATATGGATGAACCTTGAAAACACTATGCTAAGTAAAATGAGCCAAAACAAAAAGATTATATATATATATATATATATATATATATATATATATATGATTCAATGTACATAAAATATCCAAAACAGGCAAATTCACACAGACAGAAAGTAGATTACTGGCTGCCAGAGCTGGAGGGAAGGAGGAATGTGGCATGACTGCTTAACAGGTATAAGAGCTTCTTTTTGGAGTGATAAAAATATTCTGGAATCCCTGGCAATGGTTAAACAACACTATGAATATACTAAAACCCATTGAATTGTATACTTTAACATGATTAAAATTGTGAATTTAATCTTGAAGGAATTTTATCTCAATTTTTTTAAAAGGCAGTTCAGATGGAATGACATAAGGGATAACAGAATGAAACAAAACTGAAGAAAAAGCTATTATTTGTTATTCTCCTCCTAAGAGCTGCTGCCCCCCACCCCTTGGCTTGGTGCAGTCACAAATCTAATAAAGTCCAACAGTGCCACACAAGCTGATTGTGTGGGGATTAACCCATCTGATGCATCATACTACTGCAAAACAGCCCAATTGTAACTGCTTCTAAGCAGCAATATATCCTCATTAAAGAGCAAAACCACTTCTTCCCTAAATCATCTGAAGATTTTCTGTTTCAATGTTAGGGTATATTAAAGCCAAAGATTTTTCTTTTAATTTCTTTCCATGTAAAACTTTACAGGGGTCAAACATTTTATTATTTTTCGATAATTCCCTAATGGGATTTTGTACATAACCTACTAGATAGAAATTTTTAAGTGCTTGAAGAAAAACTAAAAGCCTGCCATTAGGTCATAAAAGTAGAAAAGAACATTCCTTTGAATGAGATCATTTAATCAGGAACCTCAAAAGAAGAAAATCTGACATGTAAAGAATGGCTCATTTTGGTATTTTTTAGGAAGGAGTTCTCTGAAGCTAAGAAGGGATTTATTAGGTTTTCACACATCTAATATTTCAATATATAGATTACAAACTTTTTCATCTCTGGTTCTGGATTCCTTCTCTCAGACTTCATATCTAAACTATCTCTGAATCTGAGACTGGTTTTGTTGCCTTTAAAATGTGTGAGTTCCCTTATCCCCCTTGCAGGATGTGCGGCAGGGGTGTGGCTTGCTCCTTCAGTCCCCCCCCCGCTCAAACTCCTAGGGGGAGCATGCAGATGGGCAGGTGCAGAGGCCTTGGGGAGCACCTTTGGGCTCTGGTCCCATGGCAGCATCTAGAGTAGGTGTCTGTGACTCCTGAAGCCTAAGTAGTCTTGCATTACAGTGTGTTCTTTCAGCTTTTCCATCTGCAGATGGCTTGTGTTCATAGCTCAATAGATCCTCTGCCTTATAGCAAGGGCAGAGGGCCAGTGTGACAGCTTTCTGTATCCTGAGCTATTGCCCAGTATACCAGAAAAATCAGATAACATGTGGGCTCAAAGGATGAGTGCAAGGTTTTATTGAGTGGTAGAGGTGGCTCTCAGTAAGTCGGATGGATGAGGAGCTGGAAGCGGGGGATGGCGTGGGAAGGTGATCTTCCCATGGAGTCGGGGTGCCCAGTGGCCAGATTCTTTTTGGACCACCCCCAGCCAAATTCTTCTCAGCATCCAGACGTCCCTCCTCTTCTTTCTCTGCCACCTCATTCTGCCATCGCTGGTCTGCCAGTGTCTGCTGGTGTCTGTCCATGTGGTCCTCTGTTCCTCTCGATGTTCAGTCACTTGTGTCTGTGCCTGCTAAGGTCTCAGGTTTATATGCGCACAGGATGGGGGGCATGGTGGGCCAGAGTGGTCTTGGAAAAGGCAACATTTGGGCATGAAAACAGGACTGCTTATTCTCACTTAGGTTCATGGGCACAGGTCCGAGGGTGGAGCCCTTGCCAGGGACCCTGCCCTTCTCTACCCAGCACTTCCCTGCCCTCCTCCCATACCATCATAATCATAATGGCAAGTTTTCTTTAGTCCAATTTTTCTATCAAAGCCTTCACCTAGATTTTTTTGAATAGTTCCTAATTGGATCCCTACCTCAAGTCTATCTGCCAGGATCAGCTTGCTCAAATCCTTACTCTGAAATCAAGTGGTTTTTCTAAAATGTAAATATAATAGGTCATTTCAGATATTCTCATTTACTATAGGAAGTTATCTCTTGCTGGGCCATTAAAACAATTTAGTGGCTCTCAAATATGACTTTTTGTTCAATGAAATCTAGAAAAGACTAGAAAATTAGAAAAGGAAAGGGAAGGAAAACAAGAGAAAAAATGAAAGGCAAGACTTAATGAGAAAGTCTTGTGTCAGGAAATGTATTTTAATTACGGTTAAACAATTGTTTAATTGCAGTTTGTTTAGAATTTCTTACCATCAGTCAGAGTCAGGAAAGCTTGAAAGCTACTACTGGACAAGGTTAAAACCAAATTTTAGCCTGATTTATAACACCCACTTCAACTGGCTTTTTCCTGCCTTTCCAGTCATCAGCCTTTTCTTTCGCTCGCTCAACCGTGCTTTTTGATCACAATGCCTTTGATATTCAAAGACAGTCTTCCCCTATATTGTTTGGCACATATATCTGCTTATCCTTCAGGAGGCAGTTCAGATGTTTTCTCTACAGAGAGCTGCCCAACTTCCAGGCAGGATGCAACACTTCCTGTTCCAAGCTGCCATCAACGTTACAAGATCCGTCATCACATTGTCATCATTTTCTGATAAGCTTGCATTTCTAAACCTTCTAAAAGTCAGAATTCTGAAAAAGGACTTATCTAATTTGTAATGTGTTTGATAAATTAATATAAAATAGGAATTGATAGAGGTTAAATGTCTTCATATATTTATATACCATTATACTGCCTCTTGATTAAATTATTCCATCAGAGCCTTTTCTACTTATGCCATAAGAATTAGCAATTGCTTGTGAGCATTATTATTCATCACTAATTACATAGATTGACACTGCTTCTCATCCTGTGGCTTACGTCCTAGTCTAGCATTACTGGAGTAAATTTCAAGCAGTAGTTCTGCAGCCAAGAGCCCACATTCAAAGCCCAACTCCACAACTTTCTAGCTGTGACTTCAGGCAAATTACACAGCAGCTTTTTGCTTCAGGTGCCTCATCTGATAAGAATAGTAAGGTTTAAATTATTTAATACCTATAAAGAACATAGAACAGTCCCAGCATATAGTAAATGGCCAATAAATATTAGCTATAGTTATTACCCGAGTAACAGGCAGAAAATCAATGCTAATAAGTTAGAGCTTTGCCCTAATGACTGTCGATGTTTTTAAAAAACACAATTTAATTTATCTGAGCACCCCATTTGTTCTCTCTGTCGTCAGCTCCTTAATATGTCTAACACACATTCCCACCAGTAGTCACAGGGCTTCTTGTACTATTTCAAATTCACCTACTCTGGAATTAACAACCTACTTCTTTGACTTGCCACCCATGATGTATATGATAGAGTCTCAATTTTAAGTCAAATCAGGTCAAATATACTCTCAAATATTGAGGAGGAAAAGATTGAGCTATTTCCTCGATAGAAGGATGAGGTAATAAATAGACTCAGTTTTTTTGTTGTTTTTGTTGGTTTATTTGGTGAAGATTGCATCCCTTATGTTTGAGAACTGGTAAGTATGCAGATTGCTAGACAGTCATAAAATAGATTTATTAATTTGCAGGCATTAATCACGTTTTATTCTTTAACCTGGCAAATGGTTTATACAAGTGCCACTTTGAGTTCATTTTACTGTGCCCTTTTGACTTGTGAATGCTGTATTTCAATAAAAGTTTGTTTAAAAAAAACTATTTATCCCAGGGATTAATGCACTATTAATGTTTGTCCTATATCTGTAAAGGTTGTTCTGTCTGTTGCCATAGTATATTCAGTGAGAGGGAGCTTATCTCAATTTTCTCCCCAAGAATACTTTCCCTTGATAAGCCAACCACAATACTCTCCACTCAATTTCCCAAACTAGAAACCAAATTAAAAATTGATTCCCTATTTCCTTTATCATAAATATCCAATCAGTTATTAAGTCTAGTTAACTCTATTTCTAAATATCTCTCAGTGCCACTAAAATGCCTTTTTATTCCCAACATCCATGCTCTAACCCTGGCTCTCAGCATTTTTTTTATTTGGATTATTATACATGCCTTTGGACTTAAATTTCAGGCTTGTGGTGGTCTCCAACCCATCCTCCATAAAGCTGCCAGAGGGTCCTTCTTAAGAATCACACCTAATCACAAAGTTTATATACTTAGTTTTTCCATTACCTACAGAACCAAGTATACACTCCTTAGAAGGATATGTTCAGTTCTTCCAAGATGATTCTAGTCTACCTTCCCAAAGTCATTTCCACCCACTCATTATCCACCCTAGGTTCTGTTACATGTACATTTCTATCCATTTCCCAAAACTTCAATGTACGTTCACATCTTTGTTCATTCTGTTTCTCCACTTAGCATAATCCTGCTCATCCTTCAAGGTTCAGTTCAACTATTTCCTCTGAGGCTTTCTCTTACCTGCCCTGCATTTCCCGAGAGCATAATTAACCTTATATATATCCTCACTACCCTAAGATTCCCTTTATACTTTTAGTATAGCATTACCATACAATGTTGTAGTTGTTTACATATTCATTTATGCAAAAAAGGTTTTTGCATCAGTTATGTGCCAGGTTCTCTGCTAATTCCTTCAAATTTAATCATAAGCAAGATAGGTACAGAGTTTGTCCTATTTTACCTTCTAGACTAAGCTGCTTATGGTTGGTTAGAGAATATGTCTTGTTTATCTTTGTATCCTCAGGTTAGATTAGAGCCTAGCATCTAATTAGTATAATTTCAATCAAATGTATGCTCTCTCAGCAATAGAGACTCGTACCATCAGTATCTAGAATAGACTCTGGCACATAGTAGTTTCTGAATAATGCAAACATTAATAAGTGTTTGTTTAACAATTCAACCAATTAAATAAATTTTATTTTCCATGTCAGTGTCAGTACCATATCCATATCCTGGATTATTTTCTAAATAATATCAAACAATGCTTTGCTAAATGAACTCATTTTCAATAGTTCTCTGCTATTGCATTGTATCAGTGTCGAAATTAAAATAAAGACCGGAAATATTTCTAATTGGCATGCATCTTCCAGAATCAAAATTCCATTGCGGAGTTACTTAAGTTTAGGATAGCAAGTAGGCCTGCTGACCAGATTTTTCAATGGGAGCCCCTGCTTCTTCCTTCCCATAAGCATTACTGATGTCCTGTGTCTAGTGACTCAGACTGCCTGGTTTTCAAAACAATCCATACTAAATGAAGCAGTCTATCAGCAACCTCTCCTAGCGACCCGTGGCCTACTATGACTTGGGTGAAATATGGTTTCTTGTTTGAACACTGGGTCATTGTTTCTACTTTCCCAGGCTATCCTACTACCTTGATAATTCAGTTATCAATTATGACTGAAGCTTTGATTTGAAACATTGGCCATCAGGCTTAAAACAAATTCCTGTCTTAGAAACAGAATTTTGCAGCTTAAGGACTCAACTCTGTAGCTGAATCCATTTATCTCAGTAGCCTATTCTGCTTGGTCCTAATTTCCATCCGATTTCTATCAGTTTATATTTCTACAATTTGATGATTGTTTTATTAAAATAAGGCAATTAATACAGATTAGCCTAGTATGACTTAACTACTGCCACTACCACATATTTTCTTCCAAATAAATGTGATATTGTTGAAAAATTAAATGCCCATGTGCTTTATGGGATATGTCTCAAGCCACAGAGTGAGTGAGTGTTAATTGCTCCAAAACAATTATTAGTGATTCCATTTCCACTGTCGGCAAGCTTGTGTGTGATGCATCCCTAGCCAATGAGGCAAAGGGTCAATCTATTGGAGGGCTTCAAGGAAAATGTACCTTCAAGGGCAAGAAACAGGGACCTGTATCTCTCTAATTTCGGAAGTTGTAGATGATATAATGCTTGAAGCTGCAGTAGTCAACTTGCCAGCATGAACAACACCCAAGAGAATTTCTGAGACACTGAGCTGGAGCTGAAACAAACCTGTAACCCCTTCAGCGTGCCTCATTGCTTAAGTCCATCTTAGTTGGTTATTGTGTATTCACAGCCCAAAACATCCTAACCCATGAATTCCAGCTCCAATACAAGCCTGAGAGTAAACTAGATTGGATCCAAGTTTCCTTCAAAAGTTGCAAACACACATAGGGAGAATATGTTAACTCTTAAAGTAGAAGAAGAATGTGTGTTTTTGGGGAGCTCAGAGAGGTGTATGAACAAATAGGAATATTTAAGCTACCATGAGGACTTCTGCTCTGGACAAGCTGGTATAGACCTATTTCGCCCTGTCTCCCCAACTCAGTGCAACGATAAACCCTAGAAATAATGTACAAGGCGATCAAAGAAAATGTCTAAAAGATGGTAAAAAGACACACTAATTTGGGACTCCAAGACTGGAAGAACAACTCAGCAGCCAGGCATATTATTTCCCCTCTCCTAACAGAAGGCGGCCAACCAGACTCGGCATTTCCAATCCTCGACATAGAGACAGGAGGCAGCCCAGATAGGCCCATTCTTCTCCTCGACTCCTCAGGAGCCCCAGGGAAAACACCAGGCAAACCCAAGCCACTCATAACAAGTTTCCATCAGAAACCCTTCTAACAATTAGCAGCCAGGCAACAACTTAGATGAATCTCCAGTGAATTGCAATGAGTGGACAGAAAAAAAAAAAAAAAAAAAAGCCAAACCCCCAGAAGTCGCATACGACATGATTCCATTCCATTTATAACATTTTTGAAACAAAAGAATTTTAGAAATGGTCAAACAGATTGTGGTTGCAAGGACTTGGGGGAAGGAACATAGAGGGAGGTAGGAGAAGGCATATAAAGAGATCCTTGCAGTAATGCAACTGTTCAACATTTTGATGATGGATACATATACCTGCACATGTGATAAAGTTGTGTAGAACTATACACCACCCCCCAATACATGCACACACAAATGAGTACAAGCTAAACTGAAATAATCTGAATAAGATTCATGGATTGGATCAAGTCCAATATCCTAGTTGTGATGCTGTTCTATAGTTTTGTAAAATGTCACCACTGGGGAGAACCAGATAAAGGATACAGGAGGTCTCTCTGTATTTATTATTTGTACAACTTCATGTAAATCTACAATCATCTTAATAAAAGTTTCATTTAAAAAAAAAAAAAACACAAAGAAGGATCTGCAGCCCTGTTTTTCAGTCTATTACTCTTACTTTAGGAATCTCTGGGATGACTGGGCTCATTTTAGAAATACCCAAGAAATACAGGAGTTCTCTAGGTTAACCTCGATATACCTGTCAACCCATCTCTTCCCAGAAATGTCTAAAAAGGTCCAGGTAACTCTGAAGAATCTGTTTTGTCAAACTTTTTTTCCCTTTGGCCCATGTGTATTTGGTCTTCTGCTTTCAGGACAGTTCTTGAGGGTGGCAAGGCTGTATTTGACTGTGTACCATTTTCTACCACATCCTAAGTATTTCAGTAAACATAATTAACTTGTTGGGGGAAAAAAGCTGGAGGGATAAAGAGATAATGAAAGAAGTTTACAGTGAACATTACAGCTGTGAATAAAACTGTGAAGTGTTGTGCTAATTAGGTGAAAGAGTTGCCAAGAAGTCCTGACAAAGATGATACCATGTATCCTGAGCCAGCCATATGCAGCTTTTTCAATGTCAACTAATGTAAACCATGCATCATCTTTCATTTGCAGGCACATAAGTCACACCCCATGTAAATCAACATCAATATTGTAAATGATCAGGGCATGATGAGTTGCAGAGTCAGACATAGGTATCTTACTTTTCTAAACAACTTTCATTTGGAAACTCCTTTCTATTTTTGCATGCTTTCCTTCTGCCTCGCCAACTGGAACTGAATCGGGTGGAACACACCCTGAAGGGCTCAGTGAGAGCTACTTCTAGTATCAATTCATTTCTCCCTCATTCCCAGAAGATTTCAGGGGGCGATAACCTTCCCACTTCAAGAGAGGAATTAAACAAATAAGATTTGGTTCTTCCCAAAGTTCATATATTGAATTGCAGATGAAGAAAGCTATTGCAGGCTCTGACATGCCAGATCAGTGACAATAACTTTCTACATAATAGTTTTCTTTAGGCAAAATTATAGAGTCAGGTCTAATTTGTAATTCTTTAGGTAACGCATTTGATTTTGCTTTTCGCTTATTATTTGATCCACTTATTTTCCTAAAGAATCTGTTGGCTTATGCAAGTCAAAGTGAAATATAAATAAGTAAGGCAACTACCTGGATAAACCTAGAACAATAAACTTTCCTCACTATTGTCTACATAATCAGCTTAATATTTTACTTTGTTATCACACAGTGCATGGGACCGATGATGTTAAAAAATATGGAGTCACATTGCAAACAATCATTGTGTTCTGGCCTGCAGTGTGAACTACAGTCTGGTGTTTTTGACTGGCAGGAAAATACAAAAGAAGCTACCATTTAATTCTGCTTAAGGTTATAATTCAATAAGTCACAACACCTCCTGAGGCCACTAAACCAAAGTCCTGGTGGTTATTCAATTTATGACTTTTTGTCAATCTTTCTCTCAATTTATTTCTAAACCACTATTGACATAAGATCTAAAAATTGGATTAAAAAAAACCCAAAGGCCATGTGGATACCTGTTTTAAGGCTGTCAGTGAAAGCCACTTTTATGAATATACTATACCCATGGCAGAAATTTATTTAGAAAGGTTAATAAGGGGCCAGGTGCAGGGGCTCACACCTGTAATCCCAGCACTTTGGGAGGCCGAGGTGGGTGGATCACCTGAAGTCAGAAGTTCAAGACCAGCCTGGCCAACATGGTGAAACCCCATCTCTATTAAAAATACAAAAATTAGCCTGGCATGGTGGCAGGTGCCTGTAATCCCAGGTACTTGGGAGGCTAAGGCAGGAGAATAGCTGGATCCCAGGAGGCAGAGGTTGCAGTGAGCCAAGGTCGTGCCATTGCACTCCAGCCTGGGCAACAGAGTAAGTCTGTCTCTAAAAAAAGAAGGGTTAATAAGGAACGAAAAGGCATCCAAAAATAATGTAATCTATTTATGAATTCAGCTAAAAGATCCATAAAACTAAAGTATTCTACCTAGTAATTTTCTGTCATTGTATTGTTTATTATAAGTTTCTGGTTCACTAGTACTGTAATGTGCCACAATTACTTAAGCTATATCTTTAATTAAGCATTAATAAAATATGAGTTGGATAATTATTCTAGCAATTTTATTATATAATTAGTGAATAAGTTAACATAAAATTGCATTATGAGATTTCATATAAAATTTAGTATGTACATATGAGTAGCTTAATTTAATGACAAATCATCCTCAAAAAAACAAAAATAAGAGGGACTTTTCTGAGTCAGTGTTCCCTTATTTCTAGAAATGATTCTCAAGAAGAAAAACTTAAAATAATCAATTCTGAAATGTTAGAAGTGAAAGTAACTGTGTACATCTGTGGTTTTTGTTTTCACACTGTACCAGGGGCTCTGCTTCCCAAACTCCTCTACTAGAAGAACTGTCACACGTAGGTTACAGTACACCTTTGTTATAGAGATGGGGTCACATTCAAAGCCAAGGAGCATTTAAGCTATCTGACCAGTCATCCCACCTTTCAGAAGTAAGGCTGGCTCCCCAGCTTTCAATTAGTACTGGTCTCTCTCTCCTACTTACTTCAGCTACTATATAGTAGAAAACATTAATTCTTTAATAATGTGATAAAATAAAATATTCATGAAGACTTTTGCTGAAGGAATTTAAATCAGTGTTAGAATATTCCTTTGAAAAGCAATGACCACAACATAACAAAATGAGTAAGAGGAAAAAGAGGAAAAAATAAAGTTAAATATAATATGGACAAGCATAGAGTAAACTGGTGACATAGAAGTAGAAGAAATCCCTGGTTACTTGTTGATTAAAGATACTATCATAAATTGGATTCATGTTTGGTTCTACCTCTGGAATATCAAATTTTGGCATATTCACATATCTATTTCTTTTGCAGTATAAAAACAAAGTTTTAATTAATTTAGCATTTTAATTATTTCTGTAAGTCTCTCATTATTTTCCTTGAGGCAATTTTATGGCCACTGTTATATTTAATTTTTCCAAGTAAGATTTATATAATTTTCTCATGTTTGGTGTTTTGTTTTGTTTTGAAATGGAGTCTCTGTCGCCCAGGCGGAGTACAGTGGCACGAGCTACTGCAACCTCTGCTTCCCGGGTTCAAGCTATTCTCCTGCCTCAGCCTCTGAGTAGCTGGGATTACAGGCATGCGCCACCAAACCCGGCTAATTTTTGTATTTTTAGTAGAGACAGGGTTTCACCATGTTGGCCAGGCTGGTCTTGAACTTCTGATCTCAGGTGATCCACCTACCTCGGCCTCCCAAAGTGCTGGGATTACAGGTATGAGACATCATGCCCAGCCTCTCATGTTTGTTTTTCTAATCTTGAGGTTATTTTTAGCTGAGATCTCATTTAACTTATAAATAAAAGCGAGAATTGCCTTTTTTATAACTTATATACTATTCAATCTTCTCTAAGAATAAGGTATATTTTTCAATTATTTAATAAATGAATGGATAGCTAAGGTTCTTTACTTAAACTTACGTATTTCTCGTTCAACTTATTCTTTGGTGTTTTGTTGCAATTTTGTGTACATATGTTTCTGTGTGGATGTGTGGGTGTGTTTGTAACTAGCACTATTATTTTCTTGTTTCTAATAGATTTTCAGTTGATGCTCTTCAATTATTAAAACACATTACTTACATAGGATGCTTTTAACTTTACTTTCTAACATGTTTACTTATTTTTCTCTTGTTCAGTTGTATCAGTTCACAATTCCAGAGAGAAAAAGTTATAGAAGTGATGAAAGCATACTTTACTTGGCATTAGGACATCCCCTAAGTGTTTGCCATTAAGCATAACGGCTTCTGTTTGATCTACATGCACGCGCGTACACACACAGACACACACGTGGATATACGTGTTTTAGGTTATATATTTAAGATATTTATACATATATGTTATAAATAACTATCACTAAATCTATCACACACACATACCAGGAAGGGATATAAAAATATTCACACAAGTTTTAGGCAATAGAAGTTGTTCTATCAAATGCTTTTTGGAGACACTATTGAAGTGATATGATTTTTATCTTATTAATATGGTGAATTGTATTAGCATACCTTCTAATAGTAAAGCATTACTGTATTCCTGAGATAAACCCCATTATTGGTGCTGCTTTATTCTTTTAATCCCATACTTAAGCACATTCTGTAGTTTTAAAGGTTTTGTAATAGTGGTGGCACCTACACTTGCTGCTGTAACCAAAATGTTTATGCATATGTGTGTGAGTGAAAGTGTGTGTTATTTTCAGGTTTAGATTTCAAAGTGATACTGTTCCTATTAAAATATGAAAAAATGAAGATTTTTCTTTCTTCTGCATGTCGTTAAAAAGACAGACAAAAAGCAAACCCTGAAGGTTTAAAAATACTTACATGTGAAATCATTTGAGGCCTGATTTTAATCAATTTCCTCTATGATTATCCATCTATTTGGATTTTTCCTCCCTTTCTGCCCTCATTTAGATAAAATATATTTTCAGATAATTCTCTGATCTGTAGATTCTTTCAAATGTGTTTGTATGCAGTTTTGCAAAGTATACTTTTCCGACTCTTAAGTTTCTTTTACATCTCTAGCTATTTCCTGGTATTCCATTTTAACATTCACTCACATTTTTCCTTGATTAGGCCACTTAGTGATGTATATACTTTATCGTATACAGGTATGTTTGTTTTCAAAGAACCAGCTGTTAGACTGGAAAACAAAAACCCACGAGAAAAATGAGTGGATAGAAACCAGGACCAGATTTCTCTGAATCAAAAAATAAAAACTCTTAAATGAGCTGCCTCTCTAGAACCACAAATATAATAATAGCAAGTATTTATAAGGTGCTTTCCATGTATAAGGCACTATTTTAAGTGCTTTAAATAAGTTAACTCATTGGTCCTCACGACATCTCTATCAAATAGAACGATTACTATCCCCATTCTGAGATAAAGAACTAAGGCACTGAAAAATTACCAGTTCACAGAGCTGGTAAAAGGTAGTAGTTCAAAGTAGGGACATAAAAGCCCAAGGAAGCTGTGACACAAGGAAATACAACAGCTTGTAGAGAGAAAAATAAAACCTTCACAGTTATGATCACAGAAAAATTGGGACGTTGATAACAGACCAAGAAGGAAAATAGACACTGTGAAAACATAGTGAAAATCATAAAGTACAGGGGAAAAAAGAGCAAGTACAACAAAGAAATATAGTTAAAAATTAATGTAGAAAAAAATAGCAGACATAAAAAGCATATAAGGATATCTAAATATGCATAATGAGTATCCCAAAGAGAAGAATTGAAATGGTAGATCATAAAAATATTTACAGATATAACTCAAGAAACCTTGCCAGAAAAAAAAAAAGCTTGAATCTATAGACATTAAAGGACATATTTTCACAGGGGCATTAACACAAAAGGCTGTACACCAAGAGATACCCTACCTAGTAAAGCTATTGGAATGAGAAGAAAGTAGCCATTCAGACAAAAAGATCAAGCTACCTTTTTTTTTTTTTCATTGCAGAAAAGGCTTTACTAAGTATCTCATAAAAAAATAGAAACCATGAAATAAGTATCCATTTTCTCTAAATAAACATTTTAAACTTCCATATAGAAATGTATCATAAATAAGGATGAAAGAGAAATACAAATTTGGGGAAATATTTGCAAAACAAAAGATTAATCCCTGAAACATAAAGAGCTCTATTGTTTTCAACAATGTCCTAGGGCACAAATTGCTCCACAAATGAATCAAATCAACTTTGCCCCCTTTGAAGGAATAGTTGCTGAGGTCACTGTTTGA
Organism: Homo sapiens; assembly: GCF_000001405.40. Taxonomy (NCBI): domain Eukaryota; kingdom Metazoa; phylum Chordata; class Mammalia; order Primates; family Hominidae; genus Homo; species Homo sapiens. The sequence continues at coordinate 74,918,325 of NC_000013.11, forward strand.
TATTTCTTCTGATCCTAGGAGGGCTCCTTCCAACTAAGAGAAAGTTAAAAAGCAAGCAGGTCAACCTCAGATTTCACAGCAACATTCAATGCCAGAAAACAGTGGAAAAGTACTTGAGTTTTCAATGAAAAACAAGACCCCAAAATATTTTAACTTCCTATCATTTGAGAATAAATGTAGTTGAAAATAGAGTTTCCAGGAGCTCTTCTTGATAAAAACTAATAAATAAAAATTTTACTTAAGGAAGAGAAACCTATTGGAAAAGAACTAGCTATAGTTGTTGATTTTTTTAAGCATCAGACTAAGATTAAAATAAGTGTCAGGGTTGTGGTCATAGGACAGGTTGTAAATGTAATAAACCCAGTAAAAGTTGGAAAAAGAAGGATAGGAAGTGGAAGTTCATAATGTATGCAGACTTCATCTTTTATAACCAAGTTGTAATATATATCATTGAGTTTATAAACCAAATAATGAAGGCAGAAATATACTTAAAGGTATAAAATGATAAAGAAATATAATCAACAAAAATCAAGTGGTTGGGAGTGGTGAGGAAGAAGGGACAATCAATATCACAATTTTTTTTATTTCAAAAACAAAGTCATTCAATAACTTCTAAAGAAATGGCTAATTAAATATATCAATCACATAAACTTTAATTTCATATCCTTGTAAAACCTCTGTGCAGGGCATTTAGGTAATAGTTACCAAAACTAAAACTGGGACACTATAGGATTTATTCCACAGATATACCTATATGTGTTAGGAAAATATTCATGGGGACATGTATTATAGTGTTGCTAGCAATAAAAATATCTGAAATTATCTAAATGCCCATCTATATAAGATTCATTAAATAATCATATTTTGGCCCCTTAGATGATGGAATGCTCTATGGTTGTTAAAAAAACAAGAGTCAACTCTGAAACAATCTCCAAGATGTATAAGTGAAAAACCTAAGTATAGAACAGTGTGTATAGTATGCTGTCACGTGAAAAAATATTTTTAAGAAGTAAAACACTTATGTGTATGCTTTCATTGGCACATAACTCTGAAAGAATATATACATAAAAATAACTAGCAATTTAGTTGACTCCATGGAAGGAAATGGAATGGAGAGACACAGATGGGAACAGGGCTATATTTTACTTTTTGAATTTTGTACCAAATAGATATATATATTAACTATTCAAAAATAAGAGCTTTATTTTATAGCTAAATTGCTAAAGAAATGGACACATTTTTAAAAAGGAATGGGAGATGGGAAAGCAGACAGAATTTAGTATATAGTAGTATACTATATATATATATATTTTTTTTTTTTTTTTTTTTTTTTTGAGAAAAGTGGCTCTAGAGAGCTATAAGGAATTGGGAGATTTCCAAAATCAGAAGTGGTATAAGGAAAGGATTTAGTTCTGGGTTTTTTGTTGTTTTCTTTTTTTTCATATTTTCTGAATTATAGAGATATGAGCATTCTAAAGGACTACCGGAGTCAAGGTAGGGTGCTGGAGAGAAGAGTGAGAAAACAAATGTGCTCCTGAAATGTGACTGTGCCAGGTGGAAACTGCATTCAGCTGCTTGCAGCAAAGACATGAAACAACAGGGTTTAAACAAGGGGCAAGCTTATTTTTTACTCATTACAATGATGGGCAGTCCAGGTGGCTCCACATTGTCATCAACACTCCAGGCCTCTTTTATCTTTGTCATACCACTCTTAACATATTCTCAAAGTCATACAGGATTACAGAACTGTCACTGAGGGATCACAATGAATGGAGAAAAGAGAAATATTGCTGTGTAGCTGTGTAAGTGTTTTCCTAAAACCCTCACCAAGTGACTCTCTGACACATCTCACAACCTACCTCCTCCCATCTGCAATGAGGACTGAGAAATGTCAATTGGCAGTTGGGCATATTGATACCCCACAGAGCAGGGGCTTTTTCCAGGGTAAAAGACCACCCTCCTCTACTACAACTTAAGGGATTGGAACACACCCAAATCTACTTTTAAAATACTTGTATGAAAGACACAGTTACCAGAATGAAATCCTTTTTGTCAGACCTGGACAAAACAGAGCTATGAAAGCCCAAAGGAAGGGAGGCTCATGCTTACATGTCTGAGATAAGAACTGTGTCCAAGGACTTCCTAAAAACTCATGTCGATCAAACATCTCCTCCTTTGATAAGTTTTATCACTACACATGCTTCAGGACTGCAGTTATTCAGATAAGATGTTCTCGGAAGAACACTTGCCCAGGAATAATGACATCTCCACCAGTGAACTGACAATTCTGGCTTTGAACTTCTAGAGCCAGTGAACTCTGTTTCTAAGCAGCTTATGCAAATTTCTTTTTGCGAATAAAAGCTTCCCTTTAGCCTTCCCCTCACGGAATGCCTTGCCATTTCATGCAGTCTGGATTATAATCCTTATTTATATTCCTGAGTAAACAAAACATATTTACAGAAAATTTTCTCTAGTGTGTGTGTGTGTGTGTGTGTGTGTGTGTTTTCAGGTTGACATGGGCCTGTCCAGTTTGCCATAGGAATCTGAAGTTCTCACCCTTTGGAGTTTCCACTAGGGGTTAAAGCCTTGGTCTAGGAGACTATAAGTAAAATGAATGACAGTGACACTTCTATAATCCTGTGTGACTTTGAGAATATGTTAAGAGTGGTATAACAGAAAGACAAAAGAGGGCTGGCGAGTTGATGACAATGTGCAGCTATCTGGACTGACCATCTCCAAGTTGTTGTTGAAGAGAGTTCACGTTTATATAAATACTACCTATCTACAAATTCCATCAAGCCTAAGAAGGCGTGAATTGTGGTTTCCTGCAAGTAGAACTAGGCTGGGGTGCAGTAGCCCCAGCTGTGAGTTACTTCTGGGCTGTGAGTTACTTCTGTGAACTCTGACTTTGGTCATGCTACTCCCATTTTCTGGGCCTTACCTTCCTTGTCTCCCAAATGCAGCACTTTGTCTAAATTAACATTAAGTATCCTTGTGTCTCTAAAGTCTCATGTAAACACTTTATTGGACTAGCTAATCTCCTCTTGGAATCAAAGGAAATTGGTAATTCAGTGGATGCCACAGGAAACAGAAGCCTCAAAGATTGGGAGGATGAGATGGGTGCCCATTCACAGGGACTTCCCAGGGGGCAGTAGGCATAGAAAGAAGCACCAAGATGAAGGCTTGGTCAATCTGAAAGTAGCCTGGGCCCCATGGAGCTCAGTGATTACAGAAAACCTAGAGTAGCACTCAGTGTGATGTGAAGTACAACAGAAAAATAAACACACACAGGAGCCAACCATTGACTAATAAAGAGCTAGATTAGAAATGATGTGGTAATTCACATATACACACCATCCCATATACATATATATGTGCCATATATGTCAGATAACAGTACTAGAATGATATACTGTATATGTTTGTCAAATAGCCACTAAGTGTTTGCTGAAAAATAAAACATATTTAGGTGTTAATTGGCTCCATACGAACACCATTGCACTCTCTAAGATTTTGCTTTGGTTCTAGCAGAGCTGAATTTATGAGGCATCCAGGTATTTAAATGAAATCATGGTTCTAATTGATTGAATGCATAAAAGCAAAATGAGGCTACATAAATACCCTTAAAGTATAATGACTTGTGAAATAACATAAAATAGGGAAGACTCCACATCATACATTCACAAGCTATGAAGCACACTAAGAGAAAAGTGAACCTCTACAAAACCCCTCCCCACCAAGTACAGGAACAATCTGGCTTGATGCTTCCATTGTTATTCAAAACTGGTTATCAGGAACAGTCCAACCTCCAAATGGAGGCCACAGCAAGCACGAGCTATAAAAGGCATTCACCTGTCACTAACAGAATATGAACAAGTTTAGCACATCAATTTTTCCACACTTGAAGTTTTCAGATGCAACTGTAAGGTGATTATCAGGGGATTTTTCAGGATAATAACTTTCCCTCTAAGTCTCTTTATCCAGGCATGATATACAAATGTGCGATATATCTTTTCTATAAGTAAACTGTTCCCTTGTTTCATAGTTACTCAGCAACAAATGATACATATATTATCTTTCTGGAGAAAAAAAATCAGGACTTATTTATTGCCAGGTAAACTCTTAGAAAACAGGCATTTTTAATTGATTATTCTGACAGTAAAATGAGAAAACACTTTTTCATCATATTTCTTTTTTTTTTTTTTTTTTTTTTTACAAACTCCTTTTATCACTGTTTAGAATTCTAGCTATATTATCAAAAAGCTGCATTCAATTTTGGTACTTTGTCATCTTGACTCAAGAAAAAAAAATATCTGCCTGGGAAAAGCTGTTTAGTCAAAAGGAACGTTGTGGTATCTGAGAAAAAAAGTAAAAAAGAAATACATATAAATATTTAAGAACCCATACATGAAAACCCACATAAATATGTATATAAATACATATAAATATAGATGGTAGTAATGCGACTGATAGAGACAGGAGACAGACAAATTCCTAGGAAGACAGGGATGGGTTTCCAGTGAAACTGGACCTTCAAGCCAAGGAGAGTTTAAAGCCTGAAACCTAGCTACCAGTTCTAGGTAGAATCTATGGACAAGAATGAGAACTTCCATCCTTGTCTTACCCACTCTCTTGATTGGTTAAAAGGCATCATTCAGAAAGAACCAAACAAATGGTGACTTTTCCAAGCTTACCTATAAACCAATCAGCATGCACTCCCCCATTCTAAGCCCACTAAAAACCCCAAACTCAGCCTCACACACAGCTCGCCACTCTGGGGTCCACACTTGCTGTCAAGACCTTTTCTTTCACTCAATAAATTATACTCTGCCTTATCCCCTCTCTAGTGTCTGCATACCTTATTCTTCTTGGTTGTGAGACAAGAACCCAGAACTCAAACTGTGGGAGTGAAATAGCTGTAACACTCCAGCTC